>NC_000020.11:1429971-1581486 GCF_000001405.40 Homo sapiens
TAGATTAGTATTTGAATCAGTGGATGGAGTAAAGAAGATCATCCTCCCCAGTGTGGGCAGACATCATGGATGAACTTCGGTGTTGAAGGCCCATTAAAATAGAACAAAAATGTGGAGGAAGTGCAAATTCTCTCTCTTTTTCAGCTGGATCACCTTCTCCTGCTCTCAGACAATGGAGCTCTTGGTTCTCAGGCTTTTGGACTCTAAGGCTTATATCAATAGCCTCCCACCCCCAGATTCTCAGACCTTAGGCCTTGGAGTGGGAGTTACACCACTGGCTTCCCTGATTCTCAGGCTCTCAGACTTCAACTGAATTACATCACCATCTTTCCTGGTTCTTCAGCTTGTAAATAGTATGTCATGGGACTTCTTGGCCTCTGTAATTGCATGAAACAATTCCCATAATAAATCTTCTCTATATGTATTGCATTGGTTCTGTTTCTCTGGAGAACTCTGACTAATATAATTCCTAAGAGTGGAATTTCTGGGTCATATGTAATTCTATGTTTAGCTTTTTGAGGAGCCACCAAATTGTTTTCCACAGCAACTTCCAACAGTGACAAGGGTTTCTTTTTTCTTTTATAGGTTCAGTATTCTTTATTATAAACAATCAGACAACAGTGTAAGTGTGCATTTGATGGATAACCGAAGCCAAGTTATTATAATAGAAAGCATGACTTCGCTCAAATAGAGTTTCTTTGTTGTTGTTGATCTGTTTTACATTAATTTGAATTTAACATATGCTAGGATCACCTAAATTTGTCATACAGTTCTGCTATTAAAATTGTAACAGGGAAAGACAAAATGTGAAATGCATGTTATATTTTGCTTTATTTGTTGAATATCTATCTATCTATCTACACTAAATATTTGGGACACATTCAGAGTTAAGCAGGTGCTTAAAGTCTATCAAGTGATATTTATAAAATGTTTTTGTTGCTGTTATGGGAACATCCATATCCTTAGAAGCCAATAAAAAAGAGGATTCTAAATGCTAGGTGGTTGGCTAAATGTTCCTGATTTATACTGAGTGTAAAACAAAATAAAACAAAACATAAGGTATATGTGTTAAGTAGTGACATCTACATAGTTCCAAAGCACTGGCAACTATTAAAATATCATCCAGCTAAAACAAACTTTTCACAATTTTTTTTAACAGAAAAATAATAAACCAACAACAAAAACTGGTAAATGTTCTGGGTCTTGTGAGCAGACCAAAATGTTACTACAGTGTTCTCTATTGTGTGATCCCAGTGTACAAGTTTCTATTTCTCCATATCCTTATCAACATTTGCTATTTTCCATGTTTTTGATTATAGTTATCCTAGCGGGTGTGAAGTGGTTTATCTCTTGCAGGTGTTAAGTGGTATCCCACTGTGGTTTTCATTTGCATTTCTTTAGTAACAAATGATGCTGAACATGCTTTCATGTGCTTATTGGCCATTTGTATGTCTTCTCTGGAGATATGTCTATTCAGGTTCTTTGCCTATTTCTTAATTTTTTTTTTTTTTTTTGTGGTTGAGTTTTAAGTGTTCTTTATATATTCTGGATACAAGTCCATTATTTGCAAATACTTTCTCTCATTTTGTGGGCTGTGTTTCTACTTTCTAGATAATATATTTTATTGTGCAAATGGTTTTACTTTTTATGAAGTCTAATTTATCCATTTCTTCCTTTTGTTGCTCATGCTTTTGGTGTCAAATCTAAGAATCCATTGCCAAGTCTGAGGTTATAAATATTTACTCCTATGTTTTTCTCTAAATAGTTTACCCCTATGTTTTCCTCTTGTATTTGGGTCATTGATCCATTTTGAGTTAATTTTTGTGTATGGAGTGAGGTACGGGTCCAGCTTCATTCTTTTGCCTGTGATTATGCAGTTGCCCCGGCACTGTTTGTTGAAGAGACTATTCTTTCCCCATTGAGTTGTGCTGAACACTTATTGAAAATCAATTAGCCATAGATATTTATTTCTAGGCTGTCAATTATATTCCACTGGTGTATATGTCTGTCCTTATGTCAGTACCACACTGGTTTGATTATAGAAGTTTGGAGCATGTTTGGAAATCTGGAAGCATGAGCCCTGAAACTTTGTGTTTCTTTTTCTTTCTTTTTTGGTGTGTTTCTTTTTCAATAGTATTTTGACTACTTGGGGTTCATTCCAGTTCCACATAAATTTGAGGATTAGTTTTTCTATTTCCTTAGGAAATGCCATTGGAATTTTGATAGGGGTTGCATTGAATCTGTGGATCATTTGCAATTAATATTCCAATACATCAACATGTGTTGTCTTCCATTTATTTAGGTCTTCTTTAATTTCTTTCAGCAATGTTTTGTAGTTTTCAGCATAGAAGTCTTTCTCCTTGGTTTAAGTATTTTACTCTTTTGGATGCTGTTATAAATGGAATTGTTACTTAATTTCATTTTCAGACTGTTCATTGCTGATGCATAGAAAATGGACTTTCGTGCACTGATCTTGCAATCTGCAACTATGTTGAATTTGTTTATTGGCTCTAGTAGTTGTGTGCATTTTGGTATTGTTATATTTTCTATACATAGAATTATTTCATCTTCAAATAGAGATAACTTTACTGCTTCCTTTCCAGTTTGGAGGCTGTTTATTGCTTTTTCTTGCCTAACTGCTCTGGCTAGGACTTCCAGTACAATATTTAATAGTAGTGGTAAAAATGGGCATTCTTGTCTTGTTCCTGCTCAGTGGGGAAGCTTCTGCTCTTTTACCATTGAGTATAATGTGAGTTGTGGGTTTTGTGTAAGTGACCTTTATCATGTTAAGGAAGTTCTCTGTATTCTGATTTGTTGGTGAGTGTTTGTATCCTGAAAGTGTTTGAAGTGTTGAATTTTGTTGCATGCATTTAATGTATCTATTGTGATATCATTTCCCTCTTTACAGAGTTGTGTTACATTGATGGATTTTTTTTTTTCTTATGTTGAGCCACCCTTGCATTTCTGGGAGAAATCCCACTTGGTCATGATCTATAATCCTTTGAATGTGCTACTGGATTTGGTTTGCTATTTTGTTGAGGATTTTTTGAGTCTATATTCATAAGATATACCGGACAGTCGTTTTGTCTGCCTTTGATATCAAGGTAACGGTGGACTCATAGAATCATACCTTTGATATCAAGGTAACGGTGGACTCATAGATATTCTGCATTTATATTTTTGTAATCACAATTTGTAAAGAATTCTCAAAATCCAACAGTAAGAAAACAAATAATCCAATAAACAAAAAGGCAAGGACTCTTTTTTTTTTTTTTTTTGGAGACGGAGTCTTGCACTCTCACCTAGGCTGGAGTGCAGTGGCACCATCTCGCCTCACTGCAAGCTCCGCCTCCTGGGTTCACGCCATTCTCCTGCCTCAGCCCTCCAAGTAGCTGGGACTACAGGCACCCGCCACCACGCCCGGCTAATTTTTTGTATTTTTAGTAGAGACGGGTTTTCACCATGTTAGCCAGGATGGTCTCGATCTCCTGACCTTGTGATCTGCCCACCTCAGCTTCCCAAAGTGCTGGGATTACAGGCATGAGCCACCATGCCTGGCCGGCAAGGACTCTTAAAAATGCTTTATCAAAAAGGATTTATGGGTGGCAAATGGCATATGAAAAGATGTTCAGCATCATTAGCATCACAAGACATGCTAATGTCAAAACCATGACAAGAGATAACTACACACCTATTAAAATGACTAAAATAAAAATGCTGACAATACCAAGTGTTGGTGAAGCTAAGTAGCACCCAAAAATCTCATATATTGCTGACAGGAATGTGCAGTGCAACAGCCACTCTGGGAAATGATTTGACAGTTTTAAATAAAGTTAAACATACACTTACCATATAACCCAGCCACCCCAGACCCTAGACATCTCTAGAGTATTCACCCTAGAGCAGAGGTCCCCAAAACCTAGGTCATGAACCAGTATCAGTCCATGGCCTGTTAGGAACCAGCCGCACAGAGGAGGTGAGAGGCTGGTGAGTGAGCAAAGCTTTATCTATATTTATAGCCTTGCCCCACTGCTTGCCACCTGAACTCCACCTCCTGTCAGATCAGATCAGCAGCAGCATTAGATTCTCATAGAAGTGCAAACCCTATTGTGAACTGTGCATGTAGGGGATCTAGACTGTGTGCTTCTCATGAGAATCTAATGCCTGATGATCTGTCGCTGTCTCCCAACACCCCAAGATGGGACCATCCAGTTGCAGGAAAACAAGCTCAGGGCTCCCACTGATTCTACATTACGGTGAATTGTATAATTATTTCATTATATATTACAATGTAATAACAATAGAAATAAAATGCACAATAAATGTAAATGTGCTTGAATCATCCCGAAACCATCCGCCCTACTCCCTAAGTCTGTGGAAAAATTGTCTTCCACGAAACCTGTCCCTGATGCCAAAAAGATTGGGGACTGCTGCCCTAGAGAAAGGAAAATTTTGTTCACAGAAAAACCTGTACATGAATGTTTATAGCAGCTCTATTTCTAATTGCCCCAAACTGGCAACAACCCAAATATCCTCTAATGGTTGAACAGATAGACAGATTGTTGCACATTCATATCATGGACTATTACTTGGCAATGAAAAAACAATGAACTTTCCATAAGCACAACATATGAAAATTGTTCCTCCAGATGAATCTCAGAGGAATTATGCTAAGAGGCCAGTCTCCAAAGGTTAAATGCTGTATGCTTCCATTTACATGATGTTCTGGAAAAGACAAAACCACAATGATGAAGAAGAGATCAGTGGCTGTCAGGGATTGGGTTTGAGGGGTAGTGTGACTATCAAGGCATTGCATGAGGGAGGTTCTGGGATGATGGAATTGTTTTGTGTCCTGATTGTAGTGGTGGTTACATGAATCTATACGTGTGCTGAAATCTGTATAATTATATACAACATAGTTAATTTTACTGTATGATAATTTTAAAAATTAAATGAATTAGAAAATGGTTAACAGTTAATACTCACTCATATGGCCAAATGTATAACAACTCTTATGAGGCAGCAGTCTGGCAGAACTTATTTTCTGGTCACAACCCTGCTGACCAAAACAGGATGTGGTCTACACAAAGTGAAGAAACCGCAGGAACCAGCAGATGGTGAGGAAAGTGATCCCTAGCTGCCCTCATTGCTCATTAGCATATGACACTCCCACAAGCACCATGACAGTTTACAAATGTCATGGTAATTACCTGGAAGTTACCACCCCTTTCCTAGGAAGTTCTAAATAACCTGTCCCTCAGTTTGCATTGGCTTGCCCCTTAATTTGCATGTAATTAAAAATGGGTTTATGTGAGTATACAGTTGCCAGGAGCCCATATGTTGCTGACTGAAGTGCACTGCCTAGGAGTTATCCTTGCTCTACAAAGAGCAGTACTGTTCAACAAAAGATTGCCAATTCCACTGGCTTGTCCTTAAAAGCTAAGGACCCTTCTGGGATAAGCACCAATTTTGGGGCTCACCTATTCTGTATCAGTTATACTGACATACCCATTTTGCAGATGAAGAAAAGGAGGCCCAGAGGGGCTGTTGGGTTGCCCAGGGTCTCAGAGCTAATAAATGGCAGAGCTGAGAACCTGATTTGGGCAGTTTGCCCTCATGGTCATTATTCAAAATCTCTTCATTAACTGACTCAACTGGGGGGCACAAGGCCAAATTTTTCTGAGTTTTCAGGTAGCTGGTGATTGTTTTTGTTTAAGTCTCCTAGGATTTTTTTTTTTTTTTTACAAATTACATGTTTTTGTAATTTGTTACATGCTGTAATAAGAACTTTAAAAAAAGTAGATTTACAACAGCTGAATTTCCTAAAATACAGGGTGCTTGATCATAAGACTCTTCAAGAAAAAGATATTTTAGAACACTAATAAATACAATGCGAAAAAACTGTATTCTTATCTGGGTCCTTCTATCAGTGAAGCCAAAAGAGCTATTACAAGACAACTTAAAACTCATTCCAAAGATGAAGGCAGTTGTCTGTACAATGCAGTGCATCCCAGGCATCTCCAAAAGACAGTAATGAGAATCCAACCCGACAGTGAAGGGAGCCATGCCCATCAGGGAAGTTGGTGCAATTGGAAGGAAGGAAGGAAAGAAGAGGTGATCCAATCAGCATATTTTTTCTTTGAGAACATGAATAACAATATTCATCAATTTCTCATACCCACAAAAATGTTCTAAAAAAAACAGAGAAAGCAAGTTAGAAAATCCGCAACCATAGCAAGCAGTATCCTAAAGAAACATAATTATGTGCTCACATACCTGAAAAATGAACAGGTTATATTATATAGATTTTACCAACTCATCAAAGATTGGCCACATACGATGAAGACTTTGAATACCATCCTGAAGTAGGAATAACTAAAATTTGCATAGATGTTATGATCAGATCATTATGAATAAGATGCTAGTATTCATCATTCCAGGAAACCCTAAGCTGGAAACATTCAACATTCAAGCCTAAGTTGGATATTATTCAACACTTTATGCACAAGTAAATGTTAAGGGAGGCAATATGCAGAGTGATTAAGAGTACAAGCTCCGAAATAAACATACTAAGGTCAAATTTATCGCCAGGCACGGTGGCTCACACCTGTAATCCCGGCACTCTGGGAGGCCGAGGTGGGCGGATCACCTGAGGTCGGGAGTTTGAGACTAGCTTGGGCAACATGGCAAAACCCCATCTCTACTAAAAAATACAAAAATCAGCTGGGTGTGGTGGCACATGCCTGTAATCCCAACTACTCAGGAGGCTGAGGCTGGAGAACTGCCTGAACCTGGGAGATGGAGGTTGCAGTGAGCTGAGATCATGACACTGCACTCCAGCCTGGGTGACAGAATAAGACTCCGTCTCAAAAAAAAAAAAAAAAAAAAAAGAAAAAACTAAGGTAAATTTATCATAAAATTGTGGACTTGCACATGCTGGCTAGGTGGAATAGGCATGTTGCTTAACCTCTCTCACCCTCATATCTAAAATAGAATTAAAAATGGTACCTGTCTTATAGGGCTTGCCTGAGGATTAAATGGGATGATTCATGAGAAATATGTAGTTAATAATGTGGTACAGAAAAATACTCAATAAATAGTATTCATGGGCTGGGCGCGGTTGCTCATGCCTGTAATTTCAGCACTTTGGGGGGCTGAGGCGGGTGGACTACCTGAGGTCAGGACTTTGAGACCAGGCTGGCCAACATGGTGAAACCCCCTCTCTATTAAAAATACAAAAATTAGCTGGGCGTGGTGGTGCGTGCTTGTAATCTTAGCTACTTGGGAGGCTGAGGCAGAAGAATCTCTTGAGTCCAGGAGGCAGAGGTTGCAGTGAGCCAAGATCGCACCACTGCCCTCCAGCCTGTGCAACAGAGTGAGACTCTGTCTCAAACAACAACAACAACAACAACAAAACAACAACAACAACAACTGGTATTAATGCAAACAAAACCACACTGTGAATCCACTGCTCACTTACCTGACAGGCAAATGCTCACAGCGCACCCTGCTGGCGAATCTGTGGGAAAACAGGCTCTCAAGTCCACTGCGGGTGCAAGAGTAAATAGCACTTACACATCTGGGAATTTACTCTTTACACATTTGCATATACAAGCTTTGCCACTGTAGTACTGTTTGTAACAGCAAAACCCAGGAGACACCCACATGTCCTTCACAACAAATGACCTCCAAAATCTACTGTTAAATGGAAAAAGATGTAGATAGTGGTGGGCAGGCTGACACACTTGTGAATAAGAATCGCTGCAGATCTATTGGATCTAAGATGCCAGGAGTGACAAAGCCACCATTAATTTATATGCCACTAAGAAAGACCATTGCTGATTAAATTGGCACAATGCTTAGAATTTTATATTTGAGAACTCATTTAGACTTATTTAGACATGAATTTATATCATATCAACTTTGGGCACAAATAAAAAGGAAACATATAGACAAAATAAATATGTTAAGGTATTAGGTGACACCAGGACTGCCTTCTTGTATGATGCATTCTGATTTCAGAGTTGCTAAAATATGGGAAACAATGGATGCCTCAGAATAGACAGAGAGTATCGGCTTGTATTTAGGAACTCTGCAAGGACAACTAAGAAACTTATAGTGGGGAGGGAGGGAGGGAGGGGAAATTGGGCAAATGGCATGGATAAGAAGGGAGGTATCTAAGACATTTTTTGGCACCATGTAAATATATTACCTATTTAAAAGTAATTTTTTTTAAAAAGGCCATTCCCAGGTCATAGTCAAGATTTTGAACTTCATTTAGAAGTACAGCTTCTTCCCTCTCTCAGGGGCAGGGTCGCAGGGGACATGGGGAAGGGCCTGCTGGTTTCCTGTGGCCGGTGCAGATGCTCTGGGCTTCCCTCTAGGGTGCACTTGTTGGTTCTTCAGATCTTGGTTCACTTCCCTTGAGGAAGCCAATAGATTCTCTAGCTGGCTGCTTGTAACTCCTCCCTCAGTCCTGCAACCCAAGGTCTATCTTGCACTAAGGTCCCTCTGTCCTTCCAGAGCAAGACCCAGGACAGTCCAGTCTGGCTGCCTCATGGGTCCACATTTGGCTGATGGGACTTATAGCACAAGCTCCTTCACACCAAGTTCTCTTTGCTTCATCAGCCTCTTGCTTTCAAGATTGCTCAGGTGTGAGGTGGGTGCCTGGCACCTTCGTCATCTCCAAGCTCTTGAGTGGTCTCCTTGAGACACCAATCCCTAGGCTGAGGGAGAAGGAAAGCTCCCCCTTCCCCTGTGCACTCAAAGCCCTCCAGTAACTTCCTTTAAAGAAAACTCTTCTCAGAGCTCCAACTTGAACCTTTAACGTCTTTGGTGTGGGAAAGAGGCAAGGAGACACACAGCTAGTTTTTGACCATGTCTTTGAAAGCCCTGTGTGTGGACAGCAATTCATCCTGGGAGGTGGAGTAGCTAGGCCCCCTATTGCCTTGGGAACCCAGCCAAATTGGGATGGAAATAATTCCATCTTAGTATATTGTCACATGGATGATCAAACTAAGGAACCTGCCGAGGCCACACAGCTAGTACCCAGCAGGCTGACTCCTAAGCCTGAGCTTTTCCTGCTGCAGGTGGTTCACCCAGAGCTGACTTAAAATAAGCTCATGGTACAGAGGCCAGGCCAGGAGGATGGAGTTAGATGGCCCTTGGTTCAAACTCAGTTGTCATTTATTAGTAGTGTGTCCTTGACTGCTTTCTCCTCTCTGATTCTCCGATCATTTAACCAATAGACGTTTAATGGCCAGGTTGTCTACCACGTGCAAGGCACTCAATTTCATTCTCTGTAAAGATGTGAATAATAAAAGCACCTGTTTCACAGGAGTGTTGAGAATTAATGAGATCATGCTCAAGTGTTTGACAGCGCCCGGCACATGGTAAGGGCTACACAGCAGCACCTATTGTCATTCATAAAGTTCCTCCTATGCGTCAAGGGCTTCACAGACATCTTTAATCCCCATAGTCTAAGAGGTAGGAACTACCATTATCCCTGTTTTCTGAATGAGGAAGCCAAGGCTCAGAGAAGCTTAGGTGACTTGTCTAAGGTCATGCCTGGTATAAGATGGAACCTAAGTTCAAAGCCTGCCCCAAGCCTCCACATGCCCTCTGAGTTTGTCTCTTGAGGAAGGACAACTTTTTTGCCTTTTCGTCAGAGAACCAACCTTTAATCACCCTTCACAACCCAGTTCAAGGGTGTCCGCTTCCGTTTTCCCTGTCCCTCCCTGCCCGACCCAATCGTCCCTCCTGCCACTGCCTTTGTGCCTGCCTTTTTCACAGCAGTAGAGCCTCGGGGTCAAGGGCTGTGGCTCTGCGTTCAGGTAGTTGGGGATTCAAATGCCTCTTACTCCGTGTGTGGCTTCAGGCAAGTCCCATCACCGCTCTAAGCCTCAGTAACTTCTTCCATAGTGGGCTAACCATGGTACCCTTGGGTTGTTAAGGCACAAACGGCCTGGCACAAAGTGAGTGCTCAAATGATGGCAGCTGCTATTACGATTAGTAGTAGCAAGTCCTAGTCCTGGCATTGAGGTTCTCAGTTGCTCAACACGGAGGGTAACTGGCCCTTAATAAACCTCTTGGTCCAGCTGAGACAGGGCAAGAAGGGACTGGGGACATTCCTGTCACACCCGCTTCCTACCCCAGACACATCTTCTTAGCACCTGTTGCAGGAACACCCTGTGGCTCTAGGTGCCCTTTAGGACGCCCCCTCATGGCTGAGAACCTGCTTTGGGAGGAGGGACTGCAGTTCCCAAGCAGGCACCACATGGGGGTGCTTTAAAAGCCTTCTTGCCTTCCATCCTTTTAGATAAGGTCTGGTCTCCATTTCACAGGTTCATCCAAGCACGCACTTGTTGAGGATCTACTATGCGTCAGACACCATGCCACCTGCTCCGGATACAAGAGTGAGGAACAGGCATTTCTGCCCTCATGGAGTTTATAAGCTAGTGGGGGGACCAAGGAAACAAGCACGTTAATAAATAGAGTACATATTAGATGGAGCAGAGAGAAGAAAAATGAAGCAGGTCAAAGGGATGGAGGGTGGTGGGAAGGGGCCAGGGCCTATGGGGCTCTGCAGGTCTTAGAAGTTTCCAGGGGTAATGGAAAGCTCCCAAGGACGTTAAAGGATGGGAGTGGCAGGCTGTGGTTAATGGTGCCAAAGAAGCCCTTTGCCTGGGTGGGGCAAGGGCAGAAGCTGGGGGACTGATGAGATTCTGCAGTCATAGGTGAGTGACTACGGAGGCTGGCCCAGATGATCGTAGGGGAGGGGTGACCAGGGGCACCCAGAGGATTGCTGATGGACTGGACATGGCATGAGATGAGGCCACCGAAACAGAGAGGCACAGTCACAGTGCAGGAGCTCAGACTGGGACCTGGGTCAGATGCTACAAGTCAAAAAGTGTTTTCTACTCTGCTTCCCTGTCCTGGCCTGGGAAGAGTGTGGCCTGGAAGAGGGGGACTGGGATCCCCAGCCACACACCCTCAACACAGGAGCCCAACGCCCATTTAAAGAAGGAAGGCCTTTTATTTGGGCCTGGGAATCAGGAGTTGGCAGTTCTCTCTGAAATGCTGGGAGTTAGGAGACAGGGAGCAGCAGGGAACCCTTATTTCTGTACCAGCTGCTTCCCCTGAATGAGCTCTAAGTCATCTTTAAGCTCCTGGCAGGGAAGGGCATGCTTTGTCCTATGGATGGGTATGAAAAGGGCCGCTGCCCCTCTGGAAGACACTTTGGAACGCCATTAAAGCCATGCCTAGCTCTTGACCACATGCCTGCTTCTTCCCTGGCCTTCTACTGAGGAAGCAGCCGGATCTGTGCAAGACTCTACCTACAGGGTTGCTGGGCATGATTGTTAACAAGATCAAACAACCCACATCCCACAGCAAAGACTAGTTAAAACTGCACTTTTAGAAAGGGCATCATGACAATTACTTTGCCTATTTTTCATTTTGATGAGTTTTGGGTATCTATCAAGGCATATCCAATGAACTGACATGCATCCTTGTCCTGGCCCATTTAATGCCAGGAGGTTCTCTTACCAACCAGTTTTTGGGGAGATCCAAAATGCCCCAGTTGAGAACTGAATTCAGAAGCCCCGGAACCAGTGGCTGAGTATCCTTTTTCTTCTAAACCTGTGAAAACCTATCTGGGTGGATGGGCCTTTCCATCTGGACTGCCCAAAACAGAAAACTAGGGCTGGGAACATCCTTCCCCAGCCTGGAACCAGACCAGTGTGATCCCTGGTCCAAGGTCAGAGGGACTGTCTCTCAACTGTGGTGGCTGCATCAACAATATAGGTAAGAGTTAGATCACCTGCCTCGCTTACTTCCCAGAGGTGCTGGGGGCCCTGTGCAAACTACCGTAGATGATACAGGTTTTAAGTGGGTGTTTTTACAATCTCTTCTGCAATATACTAATTAATTAAGCAGACACTGTGAGAAGGAGGTAGGGGGAGGTCAAGTGTATGTATATGGGCCTGGCAGTTAGGGATGGAGTGTATACTGCACTCCATGGTGGCTGAACGTGGGCTCTGGATGGGAAGAGGCAGTACCTTACCACTTACTAGCAGTGTGACTGGGGCTCAAGGTTTTGCACTGTAAAGTGGGACCTTTGTGAAGCACTTAAGTACTTCTGCTGGCTGCTGTAGTTTCCGTCAAAGCAACCCATTAGAAAGTACAAAACTCCATTGTCCTCATTCTGGTTTTTAATGGTCAAGGTGACAACAGTGTACAGTTTTTCCAGACCCATATGTAGGTTCCATAATCTCCACCTGCTGGAGAAAACACCGTGACAGATGCCATTGCCCCAGCAGGCCACTGCCGGTGTGGGAACTTTGGGATCAAAAGCACCAAGCCAAGTCCCTTGCTCAGGATGGGTCTTGGTTGAAACCACAAGCCCTTCTGCAGTTCTAGGTGGATGTAGTGTTGGTTCTTGGCTCATTGCAGGGGTGAAGCAGGAAAGAGAAAGAGACTGGTGAGGCCTGCTTGGAAAGAGGATTGAGGCACATTACGATTCCAAACCAGGAGATCCTGAGTCAGCACTGATTCTGTCTCTGGTTTGTTTAATACGGGAAAGGGTTCCATCCAAGAGCCCAATAGGCCTCCTCTCCCAAACCTGCATAGCAATCAAACTTATAGGGGTGGTGGAGGGTCTTTACCAGGCTAGGACTACTGCCTATGTTTCTGCAAGTCACAAGTCAGCAGGTCAAAGAACAAGTGTGAAGCAGAACCTGCTAAGCAAAGCCAAGTAGTGACACTCACTTCCAAAACATACCCAGCAGAAGCCTCCTGCAAGTACCAACAGTGACAGGTGCTTGTAGCACAGAAAACTCACCCCTTCTTCAACAGTTGATTTGATTTGCCACACATCACTAGTGAACAGCTCGGTGGCATTTTGACTGTTTATCTTATAGGGCAAGATACCCTGATTCTGAACTCACTTAGGATGGGTTGGCATGAGCTGTATCCTAGTGAAAAAAAATATCCCACCTACCTCCTAGGTCCACTCAAGACTTCTGCACGTGGAGTAAATCAAGCCATAATGGAGCCCCTGAGAATCCCCAGGAGGCGAGCAGTCTGGATGGTAATGGAGGAAAGGGCCAGGCAGGCAGGTGGAACAGAATCTCAACTGGCCAAGACCTGGCAAGATTAGATACCCCAGGGGTTGAGTAAAAGGAGCACAGGGAAATATTTATTTTCACCTTCTGAAGACACTGTGTGCATGGAGCTCTGACTTCCCACTTCAGGGAACTCTGGCTGCCGCCCAGTTTTATCTGGGCAAGTGACATATTCTCGTGGGAACAAGTGGTGGCGAAGCCTCTTTCTACACATTTCCCCTCCTTCCTCCAGTCATCTGTGGGGCTGGCGGGTGGGACACACTAGTGAATAAGCATTGTGTGCCACAAGTTTTTATGCAGAGAAGATGGAAGGAAGTTTCCTCCCACAGGCCCCAAGATAAATATAATTTTAAAGCAATTAAAGCCTGCTTCAGTGGGAGAGTTTCCGTACAACATGCTGGTGATATTCCTTCAATTTTTTTGGTTGTTTTTATTTTTTTTTTCATTAAAGTCCATTGATCATCACAAAAACCCAGGAAATGCAACTAAGGAGAAAACAAACGTCCAACCAAGATCTAAGAACCCAGAGCTATGGAGGAGACGTTGCACTGGACTGCTGGGTGTGCACAAGGGGGCAGGAGGGGCGATCCCCATGGGGCATGGCCACTGGCCATGGGAAACACAGGAGGGAGGCCAGGCAGCTGGCTGGGCGGTTATGTTAACCGCTGCACGATGACAGCATTGAGCAGGTTGGCTTCCTTCAGGGTCTGGCTCTCATCAGCCAGCTCTTTGTTCGGGAAAGTAGTCATGAGGATAAAGCTGGTGGCAGCCATGGCTGGCCGGGCATCCACGATGAAGAGTCGGATGTCGCTGATCCTGCAGGAGTTGGGGAAGCGGTGAGCAGTGCCATCCTCTGCTGTCCATACCCCTGCCCTGTGGAAAGCTAAACACCTCGCAAATCCCCTTTCCTGACTTTCTCCACAGAACAGCGAAAGCTACGCTCAGGCATGTGGGACCAAGTCCCTTCCTTGCCAAGAGTCCTTCACTGTTGTTTCCATTTTCCTTGAGATAAACACCAACAACCCTACTGTGTTCCCAAGGACCTAATTTTATACCACCCTCTTTCCCCTCGTTCTCTTCTGCCCGCTTCTAGTTCATCAGGCCATACTCTCTTCCCACATTTGGGTCCTTCTTTCCAGAGGCTCCCCTGCCTGATCCCCTTTCTGTAATCCTAATCACAACTCAGGCCTCGGATCCAATGCCACCTCCTCAGGAAAGCCCTCCTTAGCTCCTTGGCTCCATCCCTGGCCCTCCTTCCACGTTTCTGGGATGATCTGATTAGTGTCTCCTCCTGCAGCTCATGAATTTCACAAGGACAGTGTGTGTCTCTTTTGTATATCACAGGAGGCACTTAAACTATCTGTCAGAAATTAATGGTCAACTTCTCAGGGCCAGGAATCGTTTCTCCAGACACTACCTGCCTTCTGAACCTGGAGATCATATGACAATGAAACCACCTGGAAACAATGCCTCCTTCCCTAGAGCACTTAAACATAAGTTTCCTTTTTGCCCCAAACCCCTAAAATCTATGCAACTTACAATTTGGCACATCTAAGGGCATGGACCTGCAGGATTCTGCCTGTGACTTTTAGCAAACCAAGCTTTTTCACCTAGCAAAGCCTCTGCATGGGCTGTCCACCCTGGGAATGGGCAGCAGTGTGCTGAGCTTAATGAGTGAAATGAAACTGAGACAAATAACTCACATCACTGGGATGGGTCACTCGCTTAACCACCAGGCACTTGAGTGTAATGAATGTTCCTGATGAAGGAGGTCTCAATAGGCTCTAGATGCACCTGGCTCACAGCTGGGGCTTGTCTCCCGCTGTCACCCACAGGCGAGCCCAGTCAATATTCAACGACTGACAAACAATTCACTGATCCCACATGTGGGTGCTGGCTTAGTTGGCTCATGACCAATAACATTTAGACACTTCTGTTCTACAGAAAGGAGGCACCAAATATATTTACTGGCAACAGTCCTCTAGCACCTCTCCTACTAGTCTCTTCACTTTGCTGTGGCTCAGTTTCCCCATCTTTAAAATGAAGAAGGCACTGATCCAGCCCAGATGGTCTGAGATGTGGAGCAGGCATTCCCAGAATTCTCGACAGCCAGATCTAGAAGAGATCTTCCTGGCCCAGTAATTTTCACAGGCCCCTTGTGGGGAGGGAGGTGGAGGAAGCCAGGTGAGTGGGACGCTGACACTGCACCCCCTTCTCCTCCATCAACCACAGCAGTTCTAATTTGATGTCTTCACAGGACTTTAGCATGGGACTTCCTCTGAAGTCTGGTAGCTTAAAAAAAGCCCTGAGAAATCTAATACTCTAATTTTACAGATGAAGAATGAGACACACAGGGGGAAGTGAACAGTCACTGGCCACACTAATGGAAGAGTGGGGACCAGAACTTAAGGCTTCAGACTTGTAGTCCTTACCACCCTCGTGTCTGCTTTGGGGAAAGCATGGAGTGCCTGCTGGTATTTAGGAGGAAGAACGGCTCTCTGCTTCCCACACATTTGCGTGAGGCCCAGAGGACACTCCTAGAATAAGCTAGGCCACACAATGCAAGGTACCTGTGGCTGTGGTTAAATTTCTGCACCAGCCTCCCGCCGTCTGCAAGCCGAATTTGGATGTTTGTGGTAGGCTCTGATTCGTCGATTAAGATGGAAGAGCTGGCTTTGGCTTCATTTTCTGCCTGTTGGGCTGGAGAGCTGGTACTCAACACCTGGGGGGCAGTGCTGAGGAGAGAGGATGGCATCAGAACACAAGCAGAAACAAGGCCCCTAGCAAGAAGGGAATCCCTTCTTGGACTGTTACTGAGCATTTGCAATGCGCCTGGCATTGTTTGGTGCTGCTGATCTATTGACCCAGACAGGGAAAATCGTGCCCTTATGGAACTTACAGGTCCAGCAGAATTCACTTCAAACCCTGAGTCATATATTTCATACGTTATTGCTAGCTCCCTCGCTCCTGAGTAATGTGGGCAAGTTACTCGGCCTTTTTCCTCCTTGGTGTCTTCAACTGAACAAGGGCTTGAAGGGAGGAAAGCAGGACAGCCTAGGGTGGGAGAGACAGGGTCATAAGGCTGGAAGACATAATAGAACAGGGTCAGTTTTAGCCTCAATGGAGTGGTGGAGGGGAGTGTTCCAAGTCTGCAGCTGAGGCAGCCTTGGCACAGCCTGGCAGGTGAGTGGCAGGATGCAGGCAAAGCAATCCAGATTCTTCTTCTGTGATGGAATTTTCAGGCCTGCATTACCTAGTGCACCTCACTCCCATGTGTATCTGTACTCATACATCCACTATTGAGGGCAGGGGAGAGAGTTCTAAAGGGCACTGAAAAGCCAATTAAGTGCTGGGTTCTGCTGGGATTCATCATACAATGAACAGGACACGGTGTCAGACACAGTGTTAGATTTCATATCTCAGAATCACATGGACCAGGGTTTGAATTACTCAAGCACCCTTAGTTTCAACAAAGGTAGTAATTAGATTTTTAAAGGGTTAAGGCATAGGCCTTGCTCAGTTTTTGTTAGGATTAAAGGGGAAAATTGCATAATGCACTCAGGATGGCTGACAAACACAAAATGCACATAGGACTCCCAATTCTCCACAACTGTATGGAGCCGCCTTCTCTCCTCCAAACCACCTGTCCACTTCACTCCCAGTCTTTCTCTTAGCAGATGACCTGACTTAGACCTTTGCAAAGAAGAAAGGCCACTAGATGAGCATTTGCTTCCCCTCAAAGCCTCTAATTAGATCAGTTCTTGTAACTTACTCTTCCCCCTTCACAGCCCCAAAAATGGTACTGAGAGCAAATCCAACTGAAAGTGCTTTCCAAAGTGTGTTCCATAGGAAGGAAGGTGTAGGAAAGGCCACATATTACACTAGCAGCTTCAGAGGCCATTGGCACATTAAAGGTTTTGAGAGATTGCACAGTTAAATATTGCCCTGAAGCATATAATTAAAGAATGACTGAAAAGCAAACTTACTCTTTTCTGTGAATGTGAAAAACATGGACTTACAGAATTACAAAGTAGAGCTCAGAGGAGAATGTCACCCACATTACTAGCACTAGAGAAGCTGCTTCTCTGCATCAGCCTCAAAGCATGTGGGACTCAAAAAGTGTGGGCTGGGACACACAGTTTAAATGACACTACGATAGGCCACAAGAGTTGATTGGAAATAGTGAATAGGTAAATCTCATATACCTGTAAATGCCTAAGCTCTGCACCAAGCTTGTCCAACCACCCATGGCTCATGGGCCGTATGCGACCCAGGACAGTTTTGAATGCAGCCCAACACAAATTTGTAAACTTTCTTAAAATGTTATGAGTTTTTTTTTTTTTTTGCTTTTTGTTGTTGTTAGCTCATCAGCTATCATTAGTATCAGTGTATTTTATGTGTGGCCCAAAGCAATTCTTCCAAAGTGGCCCAGGGAAGCCAAAAGACTGGACATTCCTGATCTACACTATCTCGTTTTGTTCATTAGTTTCACAGACATTAGGTTAACTCTCCAATTAGACTTTAGGCAGCCTGTCCCTCAACTATTTATAATAATTCAAAGTATACGTACTCATTGAAACCACCGCCTGCCAGAAAGGGAACTATAACGTTTTCAGGCAGGCCTAAGATGAGAAAGAAGCTGTTAAGCCAAAATAGCTGATATCAGTTAAGGGGGTGGGGAGCAGAAAAAACAGGAGTGACATTTACACCGACTCTGTGCAGGTATTGTCTAAAGGGGCTTTCACAGCCACGACCTCGCTGAATCACCACAACCATCCTCTGAGAGGGGTGTATCTCCATTTTATAGATGAGAAAACACACACACACGCTATGGATCATTTTTAAAAACTAATGCAATGAACAAGCCTCCTTTCAGTATATATTCTGTGTATTCCCACCAGCCAGGATTTTGTCAAGCTTTACAATTACGATGGTTTTAGAAAAATAATATTTATATTGGAAATGCTTTCTCAAACTTCTCCTTGAGTTTCACTCCTCACTTATGAGCTGATGACCCTCAGCAAGTTACTGAGCATCTTGGCACCTCAATTTCCTTTTCTATAAAGTGGAGATACTCTCCTTACCACAGCTCCACGCCTTTTGGGGAAGCAGTCCCTACTGTCCCTATTATCAAGGAGAGTTGGTGTGATGCCAGAGAAATGGCACAAGCTTTGGAGCTGAGCCACCACCATTTGGCCTCTGCTCTGCCTCTAAACAGACAGTGTGGCCTTAAGCAAGTCACAACTTCCCAGGGCTTCAGTGTCTTTGTGTGTAAAATGAGGAGCTGTTCTGTTGTGAGGATGAGACGAGATAATGTGCACGCAAGGCCTGGTATTTAGGAAATCCTCCACACAAGGAAGCAGCTGCTGTTTGGGTTTGCTTCCCAGCACGTCCCATTGCAGACTGCTGGTGGGTCATCACTGGAAGAGATGAGGAAAGCCTGATGCCTGGACTTGGCTGTGTAGCTTCTGACTGGCTGTTTCTCTTACACACTCCCTAAAAATTAGGTGAGGCAGGGTGGCCTGATAAACATGGTGACTATTTATGAGGCACCCATTCCTAAGCCAGGCCCTGTGCTGAGTACTTCACATGTATTAACTTACTTAACCCACAGGCTTAACCCCCAGCCTATGAGGTAGGGATTCATTACAGATGAAGAAACTGAGGCACAGCAGGGTGAAGCAACTTGCCCAAAATCCCAGTGTTGGTTCACGGTAGAGGCAGTATACAATCCGAGCTATTTGGCTCTCCATCCTGTGCTCTTCACACTGTCCCACTCTCCTGTTGGGCCTTACACTCAGACAGGTATAGGCCTGGATTTCAAGACCCAGTTTCCTCATCAATAAAACAGAGTTAAAACTTCCCAGATACTTGAGAAAATAGCTAAAAACATGCACTGTACCCAACACATACTAAAAGTACAAACAAATGTCTATGTGGCTATGCAAGAATATCCAGGATGCTATGCAGGTTGGCAGGTAAAGGCAGAGACTGGAGGGACCCAGCTCTGCACTGGCCAGCAATATGGATCTCACCAAGTCTCAGGATCCTTCTTTGTAGAATGGGGATTAAAACAGGATTAAAGAAGATAAAATAAATGAAATACTTAGCATAGCGCTTAGCTAACAACATAAAACACTCGACTAACTAATTATATCATTCTTCAAGGTCCTGCCCCACTTATATTTGCCTCAATTCTGGACCAAAATCGACTAGAAATGCTATCAGCTGCCATGGGCTGTAAGTGGAAGGTCACCTGACAGGCATTCCCAGTCTATACTGCTCTCAAGGAGGATGGGGAGTGGAAGAGGAGGGGAAACCTGAAGACCAGGCCTCCTGATTTTTCAAATAATAAGAGCACATCATTCAAAGAATATTAGTTCCATAGTGCTCTAATCATCCCGCAGGGCAGCCACACGCATCTGTTCAAAGGAGCTGGCCTGCCAGCTCTTCCTGAGAACTGCCAACAGCTGGGCTACTGCTCCCAGTGAGCGGCTGGCCATCTGCAGCTGTGAGGGTGCTTGATTCACAGGCAGGAAAGGTTAGAGCAGACGTCTATAAATAGTGTTTTTTGGTGTCTCCCTGCAAACATCGTAAGTTATGGGGAAAATGAGTCTCAATTCAAGAGCCCGAATCACCCAACTCCTCCTATCTTTACAGGGGGAATAAACTGGCACTAGGTACTTTCTTGCCACAGTTACAAATCCTGAGACCAGCCATCTTCTCCACAAAAATAACCACTACAGAAGGCACGGGAGCAGCTAAAGCTCACTTCCAGCAGCAGTGACCCCTCCTCCCAAGTGCACTCTTGCTGTTTGCAATTCGAACCTTCAGATCAGCTCCCAACTCAAACAAACTAACGTAAAACCTAAAACAACAACAAAATTCTCCGGTTTCTCTTCAGATTGTATACATCTTTTGCCTTTTACTAAAACAACAAAAAAAATTTAATACAACTGAATTTTCTCAAAATATTTTAACTGAGACAACTTATTCATTCACTTGAAGTATTTTCCCAGATAATTAAGATTTTGAAAAAGCCCAGTACTGACTGATTTTTGAAGCAAATCTGAGAAAATTTTCAGGAAAAATTTCAAGAAAAGTTCAAGACTTTTGGCTTCTGATCATTTTGGTTCACAAGACAATGAAAAACATAGTAAAATTTATGAGAAAAACTAAAGCAGCTGTCCTGATTTAGACTGAAAAGCTAAAGTCCCATCTCACTTAACTTTATAAAACTGTGGCTGTTTTTTTTTTAAGCTAAGTTTTCATAAAAAGCCAGAACTGAAATAAAATGCAAGTGGAACTGGCAGTGAACACTTTGTTGATAAACATCATGGTGATATCAAGTTCTATCTTGTGCTCATTCTCCACATTAATATTTATTCCTATCATGCTAAAATAGACTTTAAAGATATTTTAATTTTCTGAGATGCAGAGTTTCACACACATAATATGGTTAGACTTTCCAATAGAAACATTTCCTGTTAGTATTATAAAATCATACCCAAAGTGCATGGTGTTCTGAAGTTCTGAGCCCTCCCTTGTAACTGGTGGTGGGCATAAAAAATATAGCCTTTTTGAAGGGCAATTTGACATCTTAAAAGTATGAAGCCCTTTTGAAACAATAATCATATGTCTAGCCCAAGTGTACAAAGATTTAATCACAGAGATATTCACTGCAATGTTGTAATTCTGGTAGCTGCCTAAATGTTTAACAGCAAGGACTGGTTAAATTATGGCACATTTATGGGCTAGAAAATTATGTAAGCATTATAATTAAAAGTGTAGAAATAAGCTTACTGATAAAGGATGATAGCCATACTTCACTGATAAAGTAAAAAGCAGGTGATACAACAGCATGTTTACAAATACATGCAAATGAGTAAGAGAAGAAAGATACACTTGCCAGATATTTCTGGGTGTTAGCTTCAGGACAGCTTTTATTCTTTACCTGCACTTTCTATTAAGATGAACATGTATTATTTTAATAATCAAAGAAAAAAAAAATTAGGTGCCCTATAAAGCTCATCACAACTGACAGGGACACTCTCTGTGAGAATAGCTGTCCTGGGCTAGTCCACAGCCCTTGATGCAGTAGATGAAATGATGAGAACAGGGATGACTTAACTACTTTGGGCCAGGTAAATCTAATACCCTGAACTCTGACCCTTGCTCCTGATGAGGCATGAATGGTCAACAGGCAGGTAAGGGATTCCAGGAGAGGGCCAGCCAGAAGCTCAGAGGGCATGGTTGTTGGAAGACCAAGCTTTGATCTCTGAAGATAGTGAGGTGAGCAAGGGCAGTAGCTACTTTGAGAACTGCCAGATCTAGGTTAGAAAGGATGTCTCATTGTGCAGGAGTGCAGGAAGGAATGCCAGTCAGAAGGCCTGGGGTCTTGGCTCTAACACACACCAGCCATGTGCCCAAGGAAAGGCCCCTAATATCCAAGAGCCTCAGCTTTCTCTCTACAAAATAAGGATCATATTGGCAAGGAGGGTCACTATGCTCTAAATGCCTATCATGTGCACAGTTCCCTCTGAAGAACACTCATCAGGTGACCCCATGGCCATGGCCAAAGCTAAGTGGATCCTGAGAGAAGGCAGCCTACCTATGGGCTGGCCAAGAGTCTGGTGGGAGAACCGTATGAGGGATACCAGTGACTATTAACCAATCAGATATCATCAGAGGCTTTGAATGGAAGATAGAGAATGTCTGTTAGTAGAGGGTACAGGAGTGAGAAGGCAGTAGCAGAGGACACAATGCAGAAAAAGTCACAAGTGGCAGAGTGAGTGTCAGGAAGGGCCAAATAAGTAGAAATAAGAGCTGCTGAGCTGTCATAATGGTGGCACACCAGCCTGCAAAGGGGCAGCAAGGTTCCTGAGTGTCCCTGCATCCTGAGCAACACACTGTGAGGCCTGGCTAGGCAAGAGTCTGTAATTTCTTATTCCCCTTGGAATCCTCATTTCAGCCTTAAGCCATCAAGGAGATGACACCTTCCCTGAACACCCTAGATTACTGAGCCACAGCAGCAATTACGTACACTTTCTGCTTACATTGACTGCTCACTATGGAACAGTGTTCTACATGCATCAGCTCACTTATTCCTTGCAACAATAATCCTAGGAGGTATGGACTCTTATTAGTACCAATTTATAGTTGAGGAAACTGAGGCTATATAGTCCAAGGTCACACTGCTAGAAAGTGAAGCAGAGATATAAACTCAGGTCTGTTAACTCCAGTCCATGTTCTCCACACTCTTCCTCCCATACAAATAAAATTTGAAGTATTTTGTAAACAGTAAAGAGCTAATAACCAAAGTGAGTGATACACAGGGTCTGCTGGGCTTGGCAGGTGTGATTGACAGAGTCTGGCTCTAACCTGTGCTGCCCCTTACCTGCCCAGTTTCTGACCCTCGCCAGTGAAGGCTTTGAAGGCTCCTTTGGGCTTCACAAAGTCCTCGTCCCGATGGTCCTCCATATCCAAGTTCACCTGTCCACCGTGAGCTAGCCTCCGAAGCTCTGCTGGCACCTCCCTGTGGAAGAAAAGGCCATGCTGAGGTCCACAGAGAGAAGATGGAAATGACAGTGATGGGAAAAGGGGAGAAGAAACCTCTCAGTCCCGTGGTGAAAAATCGCTGGGCCTCCAAAGGGAGCAGGCTACTCTGGTGGCTACCTGTCTGCCTCCACCTTTTCTCTTGTTTGTTCAGCCATGGCCGACACCTATTTCTTATTTGGCCACTTAGGTCTGCCTCAGGCCCAAAGGGGAAAAATGGACATACAAGGTTTTTGGAGCAGATCTATGAATCCGTATCTCAACTATGCTGAATCTGCTTCAAACAATTTACTCCTCAAATAATAAACATTCTGCCTCCTCCTTTCCCAACTGCTATCCACTCACTGATTTGGGACCTACAGGAGGGCTTTTTCACTCACCCTCTGCGGATAGACTCCAGAAACTGGGCATTGGATGGGTCTTGGTAGCTTCTGAGTTCTCCATTATCCAGGCTGAATCCACTCTTCCAGAGTTTCAATACTACATGAACCTGTGATGACAGGGAGTAAACAGTTACCAGGGATCTGGCAAGCATACCAATTTGAACTTGCAAATTAGCAGGTTTTTACTATTTCTCAGTGTTGCTACTATTAAAACACACATAGAGACACACATATATACATGTGTGCACAAGCAACTCAACAAGCAAACTAAATAAGCATTAACCTAGAATAGGAAGGTGGCCTAGCACAGACTAAGAGCAGGGGTTTTGTTTTAGGACACCTGAGGTTGCATCTTGACTGTGCCACTCACTAGCTATATGGCTCTGGGCAGGTGACTCAATCGACGCTTTGCTTGTGCTTGGTATGCCGTGAGTGTCCGACTAAACTACCATGGCAAATCTTGCTCATGGACTATTCCACAGTCATTAAAAATGTTATCTACAAGTTCTGTTCACAACAACTCCCACACACATTCACAGCAAAGGGTCTAGAAGGCTAAAAACCAATGCATTAGCAGCTGCCTCGGAGGATAAAATTTTTATTTTCTTCTTGCTTGACTTTATTTTGGAATAAAACCCAAAATGATTTAAAACATATTATAGAAATTAATGATCACAAGACTACAAGAAGATGTTTGTGGTATAATATTGAATAAAAAAGACTCAAAATTGTGTGTATGATTACACTTGTGGGGAAGGAGACCCTATGCACAGGGCTAAAAAGTAGTGGACAATGAGGAAAACTAAAAAAAAAGAAAAGAAAAATTGGTGTTAAGTCTTCTCTGGTGGTCTGAAGACCAAGTTCTTCAGCTATACTCGCATCACTAGAGAACCCCAGATACACTGTACCTCTGCCTGAGATCCATGGGCTGCTCAAAAAACTCCTTCATTTGCCCATCCCCTTTCCCCACCTGTTCTCACCAGCTCTCTCACCCAGCACCCAGGAAACCTCCTTTGATTTTCCAGTAAGCGTCTTTGTTCGTGAACCACAGCAAGGGCACTGTCTCTGTTAGTTTCCCTTTCAGAGGCTGCTGGTTAATGCACAATATGTAACCAATCCCTTCAGAAAAATGGCAGAACAGTCCACAAGCTTCCCTCATGGGAAGGTGGATGCACTCACATCTTGGCTGGAATGCTGCCTCTTTTCTCCTGCCACATAGGCAGACTCTTCCTCTGGTGCTGCCCCAAGGCGGTAGCCACCTCCTGCAAATGGCTATAAGGGACAAGTTCATACACATTTAAGGGGTTGGTCCATGGTACAAGGGTTACTCAGATACAATGATATATATATCTTAGGTAAGAGGAAGAAAGAGGACAGGGTTCCTGATCAAGCTTGTTAGCTACTAGATGCACTTTCTCTGATATCAGACTCAGTGCCTACATGCCCAGGCAGTATGGTAAATGAATTAGGTGGCCAGAATTGGGGTTAAGAGCTGGAAGGGGCAGTGCCTGGCTAAAGGAAACAGATGCTACTAAACTCTCATTAACCGTGACCATGTAGGAATTTGGGTACAAGACAATATCAAAGACTTTTTGATTTTCTCAAAGGAGACAGAAATCCCGATTTTATATAAAACAGATGACTATTAATTCAAGTAAAACAAAATAAAACACTAAGTCAGTCAAATTTGATAGGCCAAACAAAACATGTATGCAGAACCCAATCTAGACCATAGGCTGTAGGTCTGAAAACTCTGCCCCAAATCTTGGTTTCACGTTAAAGGGTGAGATAAACTACACTCGTGTTCCGCACAGAAGACCAAGTAAGCAAATGAAAAAAAGAAAAAAATCAGTCACTAC
Organism: Homo sapiens; assembly: GCF_000001405.40. Classification (NCBI taxonomy): domain Eukaryota; kingdom Metazoa; phylum Chordata; class Mammalia; order Primates; family Hominidae; genus Homo; species Homo sapiens. The sequence goes on from NC_000020.11 coordinate 1,454,893, forward strand.
CGGGGTGAAGAAGGTGGCATTCCCAGTTCTGGAATCTCAGTCCTGTGGGCACAGACAATGACCCTTATACTCACTCTCGGTTTACTGGTCTCTCCAGGGCTCTTGGTCACTCGCTCCACAGCTACAGCTCCATGCTCTTTGGCACCTTTAAAGAGATCATCCACCAGCTCGTTGGGACTTTTCTTCCTGGGAGGGCCAACAATCTGCTGTCCACTTCTCTCTGAGCCCCCAGCATAAAACCTGTGTACAAAATACACCTCTAACATGAAACACTCATGGAAAACATGAATAGAGCATGTGCCAGGTTGGTGCTGGGCACACTGAGGCAAAGGGTACAATGCTTGTCTTTAAAGAATTTACTGGCTAGTTGGGAACACATGGAAGGAGGCAAGCAGGTAAAATGCAGTGTGAGCAGCAACAGAAGTCAGTGAGGGAACACTGGGTGGGAAGGACAGCCAAGGCTTCCTTTAAGGGTGTCTTCTGGGCTGAATCTTGAGGATAAGGATGAGTTTATCAGGTGAACAAACTGGGGAAAGGCATTCCAAGCATGCAAAACAGCTTATCAGTTCAGGAGAGAGTCTCAGCTGGGACTATCAATCTGGTGGCCAGGCTCCTCTCCAGGAGACAGTGACTACAGTCATAGTCAGAAGTAGCTACCACTAGTGACTTGGGGTTAATGGTGGCACTGGCATGGTTAGTACAAGCAGCTAGGCTCCAGTCTTGGCTCTGCCACTGTATGTCCTGGGTAAGCCAGTGCACTACTCTGTGACTCACTTTCCTTGTCTTTGAAACGGGAGGGAAGGACCACATGCCCTACCTACCTGCTCCTTAAGTCAGAGCCGTGAGGTTCAAATCAGCAGATGTATGCAAAAGAACAAGCACAGAGTAATGCACACAGGTAAGGTGGTGTGACACAGCACCAGGAGCTCCCCCAAGCCTCACCTCACCTTGCCATTCATGTGACACACACTGTGGCCCCTGAGGAAAGGGTACTGGAGGTCAGAGAAGCTCCAATCTCAAATACAAGCCCCAAGACACCCACACTGGGCTTTGCAATAGGCCAGGCATGGCTTGAGATAATAAAGTTAGTACTTTTTTATATGGGCCTGAAAACCAGTTGTCATGCAGCCTGGCCCACTGCCTCCTTATTACTCCTATTCAGAGCTAAGTCAACAGCTTGTCCCCAAGCAAGAAAAATTGAGAACCTATAAAAATTAGTCTCAGCCCTCTATTTCCTGACATTCACCAGGGAATGAGAGGCAAAGCCACAGGCCCCGACAAGGACAACAGTACCAGTGTCCTTTCAGGTCTGAAATGCTGAGGGGTCAAGGAAGTAAGCGGAATGTGAAATAAAGGAAGGTCACTGCCTGGAGGACGTGACTGGGTGGGAGGAGAACGAGAAAGACATTTAGGAGCTGGGCATTCACGTACTTGATGACACTGCCTTTCACTCAGGAGTGTGAAACCCCAAAATTAACATATATTTTTATATCCAGAAGTATCTAAAAGGAAGGTTTTGAGTCGGTGTGAAGGTCACAATAGGAATGAAAATAGAGAATAGAACACATGTAATTTCTCAGCCCACTTCCCCAAAGACTGACCATGATGAGATAACTGCATTCCCGAAATAGTTATTATACAATTTTCCTTAGGAATGTCTGACAGACCGAGGCAGATCCTGTGGAGAACCAAAACCCATGAAATGAGGCTGGCGTTCATTCTTGTTCATTCCAGGTAGATGAAGTTCTGCTAAATGGACTATAAAGTCTTTATTAAGGGATCTCAAAGCCCTGGCTTCAGAACTGGGAGCCTGTGATCAAGAGCCTTAAAAATATGCATGCCCTTGACCTGGTATTTCCATTTTTAAAAACTATCCTAAAAAAAATCTGAAATGTGGTTAATTAATCCACAAAAATGTTCATAGCACTGATATTTACAGTAGTAAAACATTGAAAAAAATCTAAATGTCAGGCATCCCATATAATGGATTATTATTATAGCATATGAAAAGGCATATGAAGGATTTTAAGGACATGGGGAAACGTCTGAGATGTAGCATTGATCCAGCAAAACCATATTTATATACAGAACAAAGACTGGATGGAAATATGCCAGAATATCAACCGTAGTTACCAAAGGGTAGATGAGTTTAAGACTTTTTCATTATACTAGTCTGTAGTTTCCATAATGGATATTTTTATTATAATGTTCTAAAGGTTAAAAACAAATAGTTGATGGGTACATGTCTATTGGGGGAAATATACACTTATAAGCCTATTATTCTGTTTTTTACATGATGTTTTTTAAATTAAAAAGAAAAAGCTGGAAAGAAATATACCAAAAAATGGATACCTGGTTACGTATGGACTGTAATATAATGAATAACTTTTTCTTTCTTTTCCTTATTTTTTAAAATTGTAAATTGGCAATTTATAATTGTATATACTTATGGTGTACAAAGTGATGTTATGCTTTAACAATATGAAGTGGATTAAATCAAGCTAGTTAGCATATTCATCACCTCAAATACTCAAAATTTTTGTGGTGAGAACACTTGAAATTAACACTTGGCAATTTTGAAATGTACAATGCTGTTTTATTAACTATATTCATCATGCTGTGCAAGAGATCTAAAAAAGAAAAAGCCCCAAACCATATTCCTCCTGTCTTAAGATTTTATACCCTTTGACCACCATCTCCCCATTATGCCCTCACTTCTGCCTCTGTAACCACACTCTGTCGATTGTTCTAGATTGGAATTGTTCTAGATTCCACACGAGAGCATGCTTTATTTGTGTTTCTGTGCCTGGCTTATTTTAGTTAGCATAATGTTCTCTATCCATGTTGTTGAAAATGACAATTTCCTTCTTTTTAAAGACTGAGTAGTATTCCTACTGTGTATATACACCACATTTGCTTTATCCATTCATCTGCTGGTAAGACACTTATGCTGATCCATAACTTCGCTACTGTGAAGAGCACCGCAATGAGCACGGGAACGTAGACACCTCTTTACAAACTGATTTCAAATCTTTTTAGTCAATACCAAAAAGTGGGACTGCTAGATCTTTTCCTTGTTTCCCTCCCCTAATATTCCTCAATAAATACATTAAGTAACGGAACAGGGGTCACTTCTAAGCTACAAGGAGTAGAAGAGACTTCCTAAGATATAACCCACACAGACCAGCCCACAGTAGTAATGGCTAACAATAACCAAACATGTTTACCAGGTCCTGTTCTAGGTGATTTACACATTACCCTGGACTTCCCTGTGAACTGTCCCCCTGACCCCCTCTAGAAGACTCACCTCTGGCCTTCCTCTTCCTCCTCATCTTCATCTTGGTCATGAATGAGGTCTCTGAAGGATGTCACTCTATTATCACTGGAGACACAGAAAGGAGCAAAATGATCTCAGGGAGCATTAAGAAAGGTAACCCTCATCACCAGCTGCTAAGGAGGTGAAGACACTGAGGTTACATTTTTGGTAGGCGAGAGGAGGACGTTATGTGGAGAAAGGTTAATCCCCTAAGATTACACATAAAATAATGTGGCATTTATTTTTTCAAGATCACACAGATTGAGTATAAATTAGAAAGTCCTATCATGAGGTAAAATGGAATCCCAATTTAAGCTGCCCTGGCTTTAATAAAAACTAGAAAGTATTTATTAATATTTAGGAAAAAAAGCAGTGTTGTGTGGGGTGGGCACAACTAAAAATGAGTACAGACTTAAGTAGTACAGACAGCGGGGAGTAACAGGGAAACTAAGAAAGGCTTCCCAGAAAAATGAAATATTTGGACCAACTGCCAAAGAACTAGTGGACAATCATGGTGATGGGGCTGCTGGGGAAAAGGGGTTGGTGTAGCATTATAGGAAAGCAGCATACACAGTGCACAGAGACCAGAGAGTTGAAGGAAGGACACATAGCCAAGAAGTAGGAATGAATGAATACGAGGGTGACAGCACTGGAGGAAAAGCAAGCTCCAGTGTACTTCTGCTGCAGGTTAGTCAAGAAGTATTTATTTTTAGAAAAAAAGCAGTGTTGTATGGGATGGGCACAACTAAAAATGAGCGTGAGAAGGGTTAATTCTCTCTGAAATTATCTTCCACTGCCACTTTCCACCTAGTTTAGATCTGTCCTCAAGGAACAAGCTTAAGTTTTTCAAGGATCATAAGACAAGTTTTATCAAGATTTAAAAAAATTCTGTATTTCTTAGGGGAAAAAAGCAGCTTCCATATAATATGGGACAAAGAGGGTGACATGGTTTGGCTCTGTGTCCCCACCCAAATCTCATGTTGAATTGTAATTCCCAGTGTTGGAGGAGGGACCTGGATCATGCAGGTGGATTTCCCTCATGCTGTTCTCATGATAGTGAGTGAGCTCTCACAAGATATGATCGTTTTAAAATGTCTGGCACTTCCCCCTTCACACATGCTTTCTCCTGCCACCATGTGAAGATGTGCTTGCTTCCCCTTCGCCTTCTACCATGATTGTAAGTTTCCTAAGGCCTTCCAGCTATGCTTCCTGTACAGCTGTGGAAATGTGAGTCAATTAAATCTCTTTTCTTCATAAATTACCTAGTCTCAGGTAGTTTTTTATAGCAGTGTGAGAAAAGACTAACAGAGAGTAATACAGGTTTAGTGAGGCTTTAATGAGCTGTTTACTAGGAAGAAAGCTCCAGTTCAGTCTTGAAGATTTATTTCAAGGAGACAATCAGGGGACAGAAGAGTTTTGAGGATCCATCAACTAGAAGTGAGAAGACAAAAACCAATCAATGTAGCAAACAAGCTCCCTGCATGAGTTGGCTCCTGAGAACAGTCTGCCGGGCATTCCTTGATGCTTGATATGACATGGTTCAAAAGGATCCAAGTGATGAGATCTGTACTAGTACCCTGAGAGTACTAGTTCCACTCATTCATCTTCCCAAAGGGAATTTTCCATACATGCTCAGCCTAAAGTTTCTTCCAATGACTAGGCTAGGATGAGCATCTATGAAAAAAATATTTTCTATCTCCCTGTTGTTAAACTTTCAAATATATGTGTGTACACTTGCTTGGGCAAATCACTTGCTCTGCTATGGCTTTGTTTCTTTCCCCCAAAACTCATACACCCAGACTCTGATGGTATCCGACATTGATTCTGGTATCCATGTACCAGATTCCAATCCCAATTCTGCCTCCTACCCTTGGGATCTTGGACATGCTATTTAAATTCTCAAAGCCTTCATTTTCTCACATGTAAATAAGACAATCACAGCACCAACCTATGGGCTTTCTGTGTGCAGGTGGGGTACTGATGCACGGAAAGTCTTTTGCATGGTGTGGCACATTTAAGTACTACTCTTGAGTAGCAGTTCTCAAAGTGTGGTCATGGACCAGGAGCATCAGCATTACAGTGAACCTGTCAGAAATGCAAATCCCCAGGCCCCCTCTTAATTCTCCTGAATCAGAGCCTCTGGAAGGGGTATCCAGCAATCTAGCCTTAAGGAGCCCCTGAGGTAATTCCGACATATATTCAAGTTCAGAACCACTGTCTGGAGTAATGCTTTCAGTTACCTTATGGCATGGATGTCCTAGGGATATTAGCAATTGCACAATACTTTTGTCCTATGGTCTCTACAAATTGGCTAAATATCTCAGAAAGTTCAATTTTTCAATATTAGAACTATCTCCCAGGCTACTCTGGCATACTGAAGTGGCACAAAACTCCTTCATCAGATGACATTTTCTGCTTTTAATCCGGTTACCCTAGCTCTGCCTCTCTGTGATGATGGAAATGCTCTATCTGCACTGTCCAACAGAGAAGCCACTAGCCACATTTGGCTATTAAGCATCTGAAATGTGGTTAGAGAAAACGAGTAACAATGTTTGTTTAATTTCAATTAATTTAAATAGCTAGTAGCTACCTTGTTGGATCGTGTAATTTTAGAGAATCAGACAATCGTAGTTCCCGGAAGTTTAAAGTACAACTTTTGCTGGATGAAAGAGGGGAAAAAAGGAAGAAACTGTTACCTCTTGCTTGACCCTGCATACAGGGGTGGGAGGTGCTGGCAGGGAGGTAGCATGTGGCAGCAGAAGCAGCTTTGGACTTAGGCAGACTTCGCCTTGAATCTGTGGTAACAGCAGCTGTAAGTTACTTGACCTTTCTAAGAATTAGCATCCTGACCAGCGAAATGGTAAGCACCTTACCTATTTCAAAGCTGTTGAACAGTATCAGAAGAGAACACAGGTGAGAAACATGGCAGAGCTTTGGTGACTGCTCCTGAAATACTAGCCGTCCCACTTCCAGGAATTTACAATTTACTTGGGGAGAAAAATTAAGTTAAATATCAGGAAAAGAGTTCAGGGCAATGTGGGAGAGATGCCACCCAGTAGTACATGGATATAGTCAAAGAACTGAAGGAGTGATAGTTGTGACTGGAGTTCTGTGGAACAGAATTATGGCGTGCAGCCTGGTCACAGGGTTAGCAATAACACGCTCAGCAGAGTGGGGATGGAGGTAAACATGGAAGGATGCATGGGATTTGTATAGGCAGAAAGCAAGAGAGCGGGCACACCTGATCAGGTGAGAGGCTCAAACAAAAGCAGGAGAACCAAAAATAAGGAAGAATTAGAGCACCAAAGAAATCAGTTTGGTTGGAACAAAGGATTTAAGAAATGAGGAAAAGGGAATCAGATTAGGAAGGTGGGTCCAAGGGTAAACTCTGGAGGACTTTGAATGTCCACAAGAAGAGGCAGAACATTGTTGGGGCTGAGAGCTGAAATGCTGAATGTAGAAAACAGCCCTACACTTAAATCCTTGTTTTACTAGCTCTGTGATCTTGGAAAGATACCCAACTTCAGTGTCCTCATCTGTAAAATAGGAATAGTACTAACCTCAGTGCTAACAGTACTAACAACAGTACTAACCTCACAGGGTTGCTGTGAGGACTAAAAAGATGTTCATGTAAAAGCTTAACTCAGTGCCTCACTCGTAAATACTCAATAAATGGCAGCTGTTATTACTGAGTTTAAACTGTCTCCTATAGCAATGGTTAACATTTTTATGTCTGTCAGCCCTTTGAGAATCTCATAAAAGCCATGGACTCTCTTGCCACAAAAGATACCTGCTAACATGTACACAAACTTTTGCCTGTAATTTCAGGTATTAATAGAGACCTTCTCACGCTCATTTCATAGATTCCTCCTAGGGTTCTCGGGCTCCATATTAAGAATCCTTATTCTAGAGTTGGGTGTTGCTCTGAGGCAGCAGTGACAACATAAAAGGGTATGTGAGAAGTCAAAAGTGGGGGATGGGAGAGGGCAGCAGCTGGCTAAGTGTCCTGCAACTGCCAGGTCAAAGCAGAGGCAGGCCCCACACAGAATTCCTCTGAGGTGCTAGCACAAGTTTGGTTTTTCCTGAGAATGTAGTCCTAGCATTTGCTTTCCTCCTCAACAAGGACAAACCATGCAACACACTGCGCCCTCCTCCCTCCCTTTTTCTTGTCTTCAGTTCTTTTCTAAGCCTACTACCAAGTCTGAGCCTTAACCAGAGCAATAAAGCAATGCCTCTTGGACCAAATGTGCGTCCAGTCTTTTTACTCACTTCAGTTCTAATGTTAAACTCTATGTCCTTGATTCTTTTACTTTTATGCCTTTTTTTTTTTTGAGACAGAGTCTTGCTCTGTCGCCCAGGCTGGAGTGCAGTGGCGCAATCTCGACTCACTGCAAGCTCCGCCCCCCGGGTTCACGCCATTCTCCTGCCTCAGCCTCCCGGGTAGCTGGGATGACAGGCTCCTGCCACCACACCTGGCTAATTTTTTTTGTATTTTTAGTAGAGACGGGGTTTCACCATGTTAGCCAGGATGGTCTCAATCTCCTGACCTCGTGATCCACCAGTCTCGGCCTCCCAAAGTGCTGGGATTACAGGTGTGAGCCACCGCGCCTGGCCACTTTTATGCCTATTCTTAAATGTACATACTTGTTGGGGAATAGAGTAAACAAAACAGGTCAATTGAGAATGAATGCTAAAAATGATAATACTAAAATTATAATAACAACACATGCTGTGTTCTATTTGCTTTGTAAGTATTAACTCATTCAGTCTCCCATGTGGTAGGCACTATCATTACCATTTGACAGGCGAGGAAAATGAGGAACTGAAACGTTAAGTAACCTGCCCAAGGTCACAAAGCTTTTACTTAAGTGGCAGAGCTGGGATTTGAACCAACGCAGTCAGGCTCCTGGGCCCATGCTAATAAACCACTGCCTTAATAGAACTTTGGGATTACTGGAGAAAAGAAAGGAGTAAACATGTAACTGGCATTAGAGACTAAGTTTAAATCTCTCCCCCTCTATAATTCTGACATGCCAACATCCCAACAACACCCTAAGGTGGCTGTCAAAGACTCATACCCCAGAAAATCAGCCATCTCTACTAGCAGCTGCAAGAACAGCACTTACCCTAACAACATGTCCCAAGCAGTAATACCCAGATGTGCCATCACCAACATCTCATAGGTTAGCACGTGCAAACAGTTACAAGATCACTTTCCTCCTACCTCTTTTCTCTGGATGGGAGTTAGGGAAAGAAGAAAGCAATGAGATCTGGGGTTAGTGCTCCTTCTTCGAAGGGAGGAAATATATTTTAAACCTCAGTTGCCTTTAGAGAGAAACATAATTTACCACTTCATGGCAAAGAAACACTGTTGGTTATATTCTGGGGTTGAATTCAAACCCAAATAAAATTTCCTGGCTAAAACATACACTAGAGAGTAGAAGCAATAAGGCGAAAGCAGAGAGGGGAGACACCTCTGCTTACACACTCTCTGTAAAGGTTCAGACACCTTTACAGGAAGCACCCCTGCCTGTCTCCTGGAAGACCAGCATTGTCTCACTCTGCAGAGCACAGGAGTAATCTGCTGTGGGTGCTGTGGGAGGCAGCGACAGGGGATGCAAATGGGATTGCAAAGGTTAACACTGTTTTACCTAGTAAGACAAGGTCTCCCTAATCAACTTGGCAAAGGGTGGGTTACACAGGTTTATTTTGTACAAGACTTCTTAATAAGGTAACGGGCATCCTAAAATATCAAAACAGCTTTCCTAAGTCATTTCGCCTAAACTTTCACATCTATAGCACCCTTGAAAGGAAGTTTTTTGGCTTTTACTTAAAAACTTTAGAGTTGCAGTGGTCATTCCTCATACTACATAAGTAAAAGTCTTAAAAGTAGGTTTGTGGTTTCCCCCAGGATTGAACCATAAACCACACCCAGTTAAAAGTCATGCATCTCTGTATAGGAAATGACTGAGGCCTGCTGGGAAGTACTACCCATTGACTCAGTCTAACCTTCTCATTCAGACCTGGTCCACACACCCAGGCCTGAACGCTCTGGTCAGAAAATAGCTCCTCTTCACTGCTGGAAACACTCATGTAGCGATAATTGAAGCTGGCCCTTACCTGGGGGCTGTGCCTCTGGACACTGAACTGGGGGTTGCCTGCGAAATGGTCACAATGTCTTCATCCCCTCCGTCCTCATAAAAGCTCGCTAGCGCGATCTGAAACAGAGAGGTAGTACCTTGGGACCCTTAAACAGGCCTTCACCTAACGCACATCTCCTTTGAGCACAAAGGAATACAGACATGGCCAACACTTACAAGGTAGCTTGCATCCATGGGCCAAAGAAAATTAGACCAGAAGGTTAACAGCTCAGCTGTTAGTCTTCGTGTCAACTGAAACAAATTCCACCCACTAAGGTGAAAAGAAGGCAGTAAGAATGGCTGGGGTGGAAGACACTCTTTATTCTCATTTTATGAAGAAACGTGATCTAGTAAAAGTAGCACACATTTAGTGAGCATTTACATGCCAGGTTGTTCTGAGCATTCTACATACGTTAATTTGTTTAATCCTCAAGAACTCTATGCTATTAGTACTCTTATCATCTCATTTTATAGTTGATACAGAAGCACTGAGGATTAAAAAAAAATTTGTTCAAGTTTACACAACTGGTAAAGAGAGGAGCCAGGTTCCATCCCTGCTAGTGTGCTTAGGCCCTCACTCTTAAGCGCTTCCAGTACAGCCCGGAGTCAGGAACTGTGGAGTCAGTCCAGGTTGCTACTTTTCCTTTCTTTCAAGTTGTTTCCTAATCTGTGAAATGGGGGTACCTGTCTCACCAACCTGCACACTGGATGAGATAATCCATTAAGATTTATGCATACTCGCATCTTAGGTTTACACATACAGAAGGAATATGGGAATCCTTTGGTCATTTGTGACATCTCTGTCACCAACTCAACGGACAGGCATTCACTAATCACTTGCTTTGCACAAACACAAGAAAGCATTGAGGTCACAGAGATGAAATAGACATGGCCTCTGTCCTCAGGGTCACCAACTTCACAGGAGACAGTGAGCTGTCAAGGGATAAAAGTAATCTGCTGGGAGGCAGTGTGCTGTCTCAGGCCATGTAGTGAACTGGCATTCTCAGGGAGCCTACATTCAAGTCCTGTTCCTGCCAGGCAAGTCACATGCATGATCCTCAGTTTCCCCACTACAATGTGAGGGGAACGAGACAGAAGATCTGTTGGTCACAACACTGTGTGCTTTTAGGTCTTTCAGGTAGAAACTTTTTATTTCTGCCCAGCATAGGGGCTTCCCATTGTGTCTAGGTGTGATCTAGGTGTGATGCTTTACCGAATTCTTATGTTTGGGGAGTAATTTACGTTTGGCAGCAGACTCAGTTCAAATTCCAACCCCGCTACTTACTGGCTATGTGACCCTGAGCAAATTCTTTGCCCTCTGTGCTTCCAATTCCTCATCCATAAAATGGGTCTAGTCTTTACCTCATAGTGTTGCTAGGATCCAACGAATCATATTATGTAAAGTGCTTGGCACATGGTGGTTTAAAGCTTGGGCTCTGTCTGCTTGCAATCAGACAGAACTGGGTTCCACTTCTACCTCTTCTGCCTGGTAGCTAGTGAGGCCTTGAGCAAGTTACTTAACCTCTTTAATCTCAGCTGCAAAATGCGAAGGTTAAATGACAAAAGACATGTAAAGCAGTCAGAACAGCGCTTGGCTCATGGTAGGTACTCAATAAATATTAGTCATCACCGTCATCATCTACCTAAGACGAAGCTGGCCAAGAATATTTATGCAATTCTTTCTACAGTTAATTACCGAATGCTTATTATGTGCCAGGCATTGTTCCAGGCACTGGGAATTCATCAGTGTACAAAAATCCCTGCCTCGTGAAGCTTAAGTCTTCTTAGCAAGTATTTAGTGAATACTCAGTACGTGCCAATGAACTACACAGCAATTTCCACGAGACTCCCATTTTACAGATAAGTTAACTACGCAAGGTGAAGAAGCTCCAACCTTGCGCCACCACCCCAGAGGTATTCTCCCAGCAATTAGGAAGGCTGGGCGGCGGTCAACTCCCGGGCTGGACTTCGGAAGTGGAAATGAGCGGCCACCTAGTCCCGAGTGGGGCTTCACCCAAGAGCTGCTCACTCGGACCAGCCCGGCCTCCAGCAGATACTCGGCGCGGCAGCCACGCCCCCAGGCGCTCCCTCTCCTCGCCGGCTGCCGCAGCGCCCGAAGTCTCGCTGACGCCGCAAGCGGGCGAGGCAGGGTGAAACTGGCACGGCAGAACTGGCTGGGGCTGGCCCGCGTTCCCCCACTCCCAAGCCGAGCAGGCGACGCGTGACAAGCGGTCCCGGGACCATGAGGCCTGGGTCGGGCCGCGGTAGAGCGGGGATGACTGTGCGCTTCGGCCGCCGCGGGCTTAAGGCACCAGGCGCCCGCTCCCAGCAGTCCCCGGCCCACCCGACACAGCCCGCCGCGCGGCGCTACCTGCAAGTCCCAGCCGGCCGACTCGAGAAAGAAGCGGGCCCGGTCCTCCTCGGCGCCCGTCACCGCCACGAACTCCCTCAGCGCCTCCTGTCGCTCCGCCGCCATCTTCGCCCCGTGCGCCTTCCAAAGCGCTCCGGCGGCCGCCGCACAGGCCCAGCCCCGCTGCCGCGTTCCGCTTGCCGGTCGACGAGGCCCAGCCGATGAGGGCCCAGCAGCTGGGAGCCCGCCCGCAGCCCCGCCCCACGCGGTGCCTCACGCAAAGCCCTCCGTGCGGGAAGCCCCGCCGCTCCGCGCCCTCTGGCGACCGCGGCGCGAACCGCAGCCTAACGGCGGGGGTGGGAGCCCGAAGGATGAGAGGCGGGGCGGGTCTTACATACACCTGTGGGCTGAAGGCTCCCTGCAGGAGTCAGATTCCCAGTTATTCATTGACGCAGCCCTCATTTCATTAATTGTGCATTCGTTCATTCACTTACTTGTCAAGCATTTACTGAGAGCTATCAATGGCCCGACGTTTTTCTAGGGCTGTGGATATGGCAGGGAGCAAAACAAAGTCCCTGCTCCCATGCTTCTTACATTCTAGGGGTAAAAATTCAGACCTTGAACAGGCTAGGCCTCCGCTCACAACACGTCCATGCCTCGTTATCTCGCCCCGCATAAAAGACAGTCTCATGGCCTGCCTGCAGGACCCATGAGAGATGGGCCAGTTCCTCCCTCTCATCAAGGGATCCGCTAGCTTCCTCTGCTCCAGGCGCCTTGCCCTCCTTGCTGTTCCTGGAACTTGCCAGTTATCTTGCATTTGCCTCAGGGCCGTTGCATTAGCTGCTTCTGTGCCTGGAGCACCTTTCCCTTACCGATGGGCAAGGCGCTCTCCCCGCTTTCTTTGGGCCTCTGCTCCAAGGCCACTTTCTTAGGCACAATCCTGTCTTCTGGGTCCTCAGCTTCTTTGCCCTCTTGCCTCTCCAAAGAGGAACTTACTTGTTCAGCTTACTTGTTCTTTGTTCTCTATTTTCAAAGCCTAACTTCCTTGTTCTTTGTACCTCCTTACCCCTAGTTACGGTAAACAACCTTCCCGCGGGTCCTAATCTATAACTCACATCTGTTCCCTTGGATACCCTCGCTACAATTGCCATTCCCGCGGAAACTCTTCTTCCTGCCGAAACCGCTTGCCCTACCACTGTAGCCCACATTTCTGCTCCATTTGAACTAGCCAATCGGGATTAGCTTAGATTGCGCAGTCCAGCCCCAGCCAATGGGAACAGGACACAGAAGCAGCGACTAACCGCATTAGGGATAAAAACCCCTTCTCTCTTTTGTTCGGTGTGCTTTCCTGAAGACCAGATGTGTGAGTGGCACCCTTCTGCAGAAGTAAATTGGCTTTGCTGAAAAATCTTTTATTTCAGTGCTGGTTTTCCTTGAGACTTCGAGCTTTAATTTCCAACACCACCGTGGGACACTCTTCCCTTCCTCTTCCTCTGTCGGCCCCTGCTCATTCTTCAGCTCTCAGTTCAGGTGTCCCTTTCTCAAGGAGACCTTGAGAAGGTGCCCAGGCTTAGTCAAAACCCCTCTTAATCAGGTTATGAACAGCACAAAGTCCAGTCTTCCCTCAATTGACACAATAGTTGCTTTCCTGGAAAATTCGGTGTCTTATTAACACTGTGCAAGAAATCCTTTAAGTTTATATGACAAACGAGTTAGGGCTTGGGTTAGGTTATTAGGAGCATGGTTGCAGCCACAATAGGCCCTGGCAGGAGGCATGGGAGGAGGGTCCTTTCTTTGTGGTGTGAGACTCTCCTTTCTATTGCAAGGCCACCCAGGACCAGCCCCGGTCCCTAGGACTTACCCCTTTCATCATTGTGTCAACTCGAAATGCACCCCAACTTTCCAGGAAGTCCAAGAAGCTAGAGGCTCACTCTGGACCTCACGATTGGCAACCAGTAAGGTCTTTCTACCCTGGAAACTGACAACGACTAACCCCAGCTTAAAGATCTGCAGGCGATCAGCTCCTCAAGGTCCAGTTCCCTGGCTGGTATTGGAGTCATTGAAACTCATTGTCACCCCCCCTCTTCATTTTTGTGCCATCAGGGAAAGCTCTTTGTTCGGCCAGAGGGTCCCTGATCCCTCTTCTAGAGGACTTGAGGGCATCCTTTCCCATAACACTACCTGGCAGCTAGTGTTTACTGAGCACTTACTATGCCCCTAGACACTCTGCAAAGAGCCTTAGATACACTAACTCATGCACCCTATGAAGTGAGTTCTATTGTTATCATTTCCATTTTGCAGATGGGGAAACCTAGACTTCTAAAGAGTTTTGAATCCAGGTATGGCACAGCTCCTGAGTCTGCTTCTAACCGCTACACCACACTGTCTCTCCTTAGACTGCAGGACTGTGCTGGTCACTTCCTATGGCTGGTTTCTGGAAGCAGCTCCAGATGACCCAACTGGAGTTTAAGGCAGGGGATGTGAGGGCATGAACTTGAAACTACATTTACATAACACTTATCTAAGTGTCCTTAACAAAACTAGAGAAGGAGGTGCTGCAGGCTCAGCTTTAGCTCCACTCTCCTATGTCCAACCACACCAGCCCCCAACCTCCAGCCCCATCCCACCCAAGCCCCATCCCCAAATTCTACCACCACGACCACCTCCAGCCTCACCTCTACCTCACAGATCCGCCACCAGCACCTGACCCACCCCGCCCCACTTTCCCTTCTAACTCCACCCTCAGTACTAAATGCACCCCACCCTCCAAAGCCCACTTTCACTCCATTTCACCCCCAGCCCCCTCCGGGCTCATCTCCATCTTCCTTCCCACTCCAGTCTCACCCCAGCCCCTCCCTTTAATCCTATCTTCCACCACCTCCCGCCCCACCCCAGCCTTCCTTTGGCACCCCCTCTGCCGTGTCCTCACTGGTGGTGACTTCACTTTGGGCAGGAGCTGTGTGTACCCAGGACTGGTGTCTCCTCTGACCCCCTACTCCAGTCCCCTAAGCGCTAAACCCTCTATAGCTTAGGGGGCCAGGGGAGCTGCTAGGTGGAGCAAATGATTGATTTCTCAGCTGACATTCAGACCTTCCAGAGGCCCCTATACATGGAAGCTGCCGGTACCACTCACCCTTCTCTACTACCTCAGCCTCAGCACTGCCTTCTTCTACCACTCTTCTTCACAAAAGGTGACAGAGCGAGACTCTGTCTCAAAAAAAAATAATAATAATAATAACAACACTACCACTGCCTCAGCAAAGTTGGGACTATTTGTCTCTCTTTTCACAACATCTTCAACTAATGACAATAATAATAAAATAACAGTACTGCCAGCCGGTGACTAATGCTTGGTTGCATTAGTCAGCAGTGAGAACCAATGAAAACTGCAATGAGATTCCCTTTTGCCTTATCCAACTGGTAAAACATTTACAAGTCTGACTGTTAGAGTAGGCAGATAGCCAGAAATAAGCAGGCAAGGGAGCGTTTGGGAAAAGAAGTCCTGGAGACTCCATTCACTGACAGTCAGCGCCACCCACTGGCGGCCAGCAAAGAGACAATGGCTACACTGGCAACTTCTGGCCTTGTGGTTGGGCTCCTCTGGCCCTAAAGGGGACTTATGAGGCCTTACCCAGAGATAACCATGGTAGGGACTTTCCCACTGACGAGCATGTGCACTCCTCCAGTAACTCGCCCTACAGTAGCCTTTTGCTCATTATAATAACAAGCCGGGCACAGTGGCTCATGCCTGTAATCCCAGCACTTTGAGTGGCCGAGGTGGGCGGATGACGAAGTCAGGAATTTGAGATCAGCCTGGCCAATATGGTGAAACCCCGTCTCTACTAAAAAAATACAAAAATTAGCCAGGCATGGTGGTGCGTGCCTGTAGTCCCAGCTACTCAGGAAGCTGAGGCAGGAGAATCGCTGGAACCCGGAAGGCAGAGATTGCAGTGAACTGAGATCACACCACTGCACTCCAGCCTAGGTGACAGAGCGAGACTCTGTCTCAAAAAATAATAATAATAACAACAAAACACACCCCTGAGTGGAGATTTTAAATGCTAATGAGACAGGCAATGTGTTTACTAGCGCGTACAAACACACAACATTCACAGCCAGGGGGACCACCTAAAACATGATTGTAAGTGACGCTCCCTCATGCCCCTGCACGAATAATCATGTAAGATTCTCATAAAGAGGGTCCCCCAGCACCAGCTGCTGCTGGCTCGTTCTTTCAGAGTGTACTGTCTCTTTAAATAAACACTGCTACTGCTGTTTTTTGCCTGATGCTGTTTTCCAGCCAGGTCAGCCCACTCCTTTCTAGGAACGTACTTTATCTTTCTTCAATAAACTCTGCTACTTCACCTTTGCTGTGTGTCTCTTGGCTGAAATCTTTCTTCCAAGCAGACAAGAACTGAAGATTCCCGCACTTCCCTGTAATGTGACCATAGGAAATATTGGCATAAGCCTGAAACAACAGGAATTTTCCTGTGTCTAACAGCAGTATATGTTGGCTTAATGGCATTGGGGCATGATTTGGCCAATCTAGTGGAGTTGAAGAAGCACAGAACCTGTATAACCCTCCAGTTCTACTTGTGGGTGTGTGCACTTGTGCATGCATCAGGAGACACAGTGAAACTGTCTCTGTTTGGGATAGCGAGAAACTGGAACAACTAAGGTCTCCATCCATCAACAGAAATCACAAATGTAATATGTTAATACAATGGAATACTATACAGTTCTGAAGATGAATGAATTAGAGTTACAGGTAACCAACCTGGATATAACTCAAATGTTGAGTCAGAAAGCAAGGTTGAGAATGATCTGTGTAGCAAAGTGCCATTAATCAGTGCCATTTAGATAGAATTTAGAAATGTGCTTGACTAGGCCTGGCATTCCCCACTTTCTCAGGCCAATGACATGTAGCTGCTCTCTGGGCGGTGTGTCTTGTGGAGAGGACGGACTATTCTTGACCTGGCTGGCACCTCCTCTCACTGCACCCCGATACCGCCACCCCAATACTGCATGCAGCAGGGCTGCCATCCTTGGGTTGTCAGGTTATAGGAAGCCCCTGTCAAATGGTGTTTGCTCCTTTTCTTCCTCCAGCTCTAGGTCTAACCTGCAGGGGGAAATGGAGGGTCCTCGAGCCCGAGGAGAGTGGCGTGAATAGACCTATCTCTCACAGGGAGCAGTCACAAAGTCTGGGACTTTGGCAGCCTTGATGGGGGTTCCTTGGGGCAGGAAGAGCATGGGACAAGAACCATGGGAAGGGAAGGAAAGAGCTAAAGAAGAGCTGCAGGAAGGAGAAAACAGAAGGGGAGGGAGAGAAACGGATGCCCTGATTCAGGGATCTTGGAGTGTAGTCACTGACATCAAGGCATCAGATCTGAAGGCCCAGGCAGGACATGTAATAGTGGCCTGTTGGCCCTTAGTGGGGGCTGTGGCATGCCCCCTGCTCTGTCTTTGGTGGGTCATCTCACCTGTGCAATGCCTGGGGCCCCAAAGCAGCAGAAGGGCTGGGCTGAGGAGTTCTGTCTCCCATCCATTCCCCACCCTTTCTATCTGTGGTCAGCAGGTTTCCCAGAGTCCCCACGAAGGGCCTTAAATTGTTCATCTTTTGTTATATTTGTCTTCTTTAGTGGACTTGCCTCCACCTTGCTCCCCTGCCATGTCCCTATAAGTCCCTGGATCCAAGCAGGGCCAACTTTCTATAGGATTTTACAACTGAGTCTGTGGTGAGTAGGGTCATCTGACTTCTGAAGTTGCCCGATAAGGGGCCCAGGCACTGTAGGCTGCCATGCTCCTTGTCATGGGGAGGATAGTGACTACAGTTTATAGTTAGAATTGCATAACAATAGCCTAATGAAATAATGTAACTATAATAATTATTTAGGGCTTCTTATGTGCCAGGTGCTGCACATATACCAATGCATTTTAGCCTCAAAACTACCTAATAAGGGAGACACGCATGTTATTACCAGTTTATAGACAAGGAAACTGAGAGAAACAAACTCACCCAAGAGATAAGTAGGAGAACTGGAATTTGAACCTGCACAGCCAGATTTCCGAGACTGTGTGCTTCATCTCTGCCATGTATGTAGTTCAGGCGTTTACGGGGTCTAATACAGGCCAGGCATTCTGCTTGGTGTTTGCTGTTCTTGTGCAAGTCAAGCACGCTCCTGCCTCAGGACCTTTGCATTCGCTGTTCCTTGTACTTTTCAGCTCTTCCCCTGGGTATCTGCAGGGCTCTCTTCCTCACCTCCTTCAGGTGTCTGCTCAAATGTCACTTTATCAGGAGGCCTCTTCTGTCCACCCTGCATAAAATAGTGTCACTTCCCCTTTGCTCTGGCAACTTCCTTCCCCCTCCTCCTGCGTTGTGAAGGCCCTCAGCACTCAGTATAGTGGGGCCTGTTACTCACCTAGGGTTACTTGCTCATTGTCTGTCTTCTCTCGGGAGGAGGTAAGCTCTGAGAGAGCAGACTTCTGTTTCTTTCTCAGCACACTGATTAGGGCCTGGCACAGAGTCAGCTTTCAACCACGTTTCAGGATTCAATGAGGGTGGCTACAATAGTGGACCATTAGGTTCCTGTCCCCAGGGAGCTCAAATTCTAGTGGGGACAACTAACAACCATCAAGGAAGCAGATACACAAACACACACGCACACACAGACACGCACACATGCACACACGCACACACACGCACACACACGTGCACACGCAGGCACACAGATGCACACATGCATGCACACACACCCACATAGGTGCACACACACATGCATGTGCGCTCACACACACACACCACACACATGTTTTCAGGTAGCAGTAAGTACTATGAAGAAAACTTAAGTGGCAAGCAGGAATGAGAGTGATGGAGGTGCTTTTTTGGATAGAGTGGTCCAGAGAGGCCTTTAAAGGTAAGAGTTAAGCAGAGACTTGAATGAATCAGGGAGCTTTGTGTGGTCAAAGTCCAGAGGGGTGCTGGAGAAGAGTCAGCTTACAGGATCTGGGGAGATGAGGTCAGAGGGGGTGGCAGGGACCAGCTCATGCAGGGCCCTACAGGGCTAGGGGGCTTGCAAGGGCAGGTGGGACCCACCTCCAGTTAGTGGAGAACCACCTCCATGCTTTCCTGCTGTTTCAGCTTCCCGTGGCCGCTGTAACAGATCACTGCAAACCTGATAATTTAAAACAACAGAAATTTATTTTCTCATATTTCTGAAGTCCCGAAGTCTGAAATCAAGGTATTGGCAGGGCCACACTTCCTCCGGAGGCTCCAGGGGGAGAATTTCTTCCTTGATTCTTCCAGCTTCTGGTGGCTGCTGGCATTCCTTAACCTGTGGTCACATAGCTCCAAACTCTGCCTCTGTGGTCACATTGCTTTCTCTTCTACATCGAAGATCCATCCGTGTCTCTCTTGTAAGGATACTTAACATCTCTTTTAGGGCTCACTTAGATAATCCAGGGTAAACCCCCACCCCCATCTCAAGATTCTTAATTTAATCACACCTGTATAGTCTTGTTTTCTTTTTTCTTTTTATTTTTACTTTTGCCATACAAGGTAACAGTCAAAGGTTCCAGAGATTAGGACATGGATATCTTTGGGGTGGGGGTTAGTATTCAGCCTACCTTCCCTACCCTCTCTAATGTCTGGTAATTCAATAATTTATTCCATTCTCAGACTAAATTACTGTTGTCGCTGGCTTAGTTCAAGCTGTTTTTCTGTTTGTGGTAATGAAAAACATCTAGACTCATCTACTCGCCGCTATAGTGAGTGCTAATAAATGTTTGCCTGGAAAGAGAACAGGGAATTTACATGTATCGAGTGCATGCAGTGCACACAGCACATAGTAGGCCCTCAGTAAATGCAGAATTGAATTGGTTCTTTTTTTTTTTTTGAGACGGAGTTTTGCTCTTGTTGCCCAGGCTGGAGTGCAATGGCGCGATCTCAGCTCACTGCAGCCTCTGCCTCCCAGTTCAAGCGGTTCTCCTGCCCCATCCTCCCAAGTAGCTGGGATTACAGGTGCACACCACCACGCCTGGCTAATTTTTTGTATTTTTAGTAGAGACGAGGTTTCACCATGTTAGCCAGGCTGGTCTCAAACTCCTGAACTCAGGTGATCCACCCACCTCGGCCTCCCAAAGTGCTGGGATTACATGCATAAGCCACCGTGCCTGGTCTTGAATTGGTTCTTACACAATGCAGAGAAGTCCACATTAGTATCCTGGATGTTCCGTGATGGGAAGGGACTCTGATTAGTCACTGAGGGTGCACAGGGAGGAGGCAGAGGCCTCAGGGTTAAAGGCAGGTGTGTCTGACTCCTGGGCATGCACACTCTTCCCCATGTCAGGGCTTCTCAGTCCACTAGATGGTGGTAGCACCCCCCCAGGTTGTGCCAACCAAAAACATCTCTAGACATTGCCAAAAGTCCAGTGGGGGCAAAATCACTCATCTTGGGAACTACTGCCCCACATCATGCTGCCCCAGGGGAGGTGATAGTGGGAAGAAGTGCTGGCTAGCTAGCTGGGCATTGAACTCAGGTGTCCCACAGGGCAGGTGAGAGGCTGTCTGTATGCTGCTGTGGTGGAGATAACTGGTTATCCCCTGATATCTGCCATCTGGTTTCTCTAGTGAAAACTTGCAGCTGGGCGCATTGCTGCCAGAAATAAAGACTACATCTCCCAGTGTTTCTTGCAGCTAGGTGTGACCATGTGACCACATTCCAGCCAAGTAGAGATAAGTGAGGTGGCCAAGTTCCTGACTGTGCACTTAAAGGGGAGGGTCCTGCTCCCCTTTCCTGCCCTCTTTTCCAGTCTGGCTGCCTAGAAGGTGGACCTGGTAGCAATGAGATCAGTGAATCCTGGGTCTCAATACCAGGGAGTCTCTGTATTGCTTGGCCTGCTGATGGTCAACTTTCTGGTTGATTTCCACTGGTTTAAGCCACTGTTATTTAAGAGCTTTGTTATAGTTGCTGAACCTGCATTCTAATATTATACCTGCCCAAGCCAGCCATGAGGGGGATGGAAGGAAGGCAGGAAGGAGTGGGGAGAAAGGTGTAGATGGAGGGGCACAGATGGTCTGGCTGGTTGAGTTCAGAGATTCTTACAGACATCTCCTGGGAAGAAGACTCTGAGTTGGATGTTGGAGGCCAAGAAGGATGTAGCGAGGTGGGGAAAGGGGCAGGGCGCACCAGAAAGGGCTGCAGCAGGGGCAAGGGTGTTGAGGAGAGACTGAGCCAGGGACTGAAAAGCAAGGAGGTCTTGAACAGGCCAAAAAGAGAAAGGGAGACATTTTAGAGGGAAGCCCGGTGCAAAGAAGGGAATTTCACTAGGTGGACCAAAACCAGATGTAGGGATCTAGGAGTTTGTCATGAGGCCTGGGGGCACCTAGAGGCTGGGACTGGAGGTAGGGAAATGGTTGAGGAGCCCTGGCTCCTCTCCAACTCAGAGGGTCCTCACTCTGGGGCTGACCCCTCACTCTTGACCCTTGCTCCATGCTAAGGTGTTCATGGCTCCTGCTGGGCCTGTGGTCTTGACATCTTCTTGCCCAGGGCTCCTCCGAGAGGTAGCCAGGGCCAGTAGGAGTGCAGCCAAGGTAATTGCCTTCAGCCCCAGGACCACAGGTGCGAACACAACCAGGAGGCCTGGGAGGCACAGGAGAGAGCTCAGGCGGGACCCGTGGTGAGGGCCCCACAGCCCACGCCTCATTGCTGCCCATGGGCAAGGTCACATCCTGCTGCTGTATAACCTCTGGAGCTGTATCCTTTCTACATTGAAAGAGGAGATCAAAGACCACCCTTCCCTCTGCCCTGGGCCCAGAGAACGGTTGCCCAATATTCTGCCTGCATCTGTAATCATCTCAGTCACATCCCTAACCTCTGCTATTCCTAATTGCCTAATGCAATCCTCAAGGTAATCCTACAGTGTAGGATAGTGATCCAATTTTTATAGATAAGGAGACAGACCCAGAGTGGGGAAATGATTTTCTCAGGGCCACATGTGTTAAAGAAGTCACGGGACCCAGGCCGTCTGGCCCCCATGAATGGCAGGAGCAGGGCCGAGCATCAGGAAGGCAAATCTGACCACATCTATCACAAGCTCCCACCAGATACTGAGAGTCCTTGAATGTTAACATGAGATGTGCTAGGCACAGTTCTGGACACCTGGCATGTGTGATCTCCTTGAGTGCACACACAACCCCATGAAGTAGGGTCTCTGATTCTTGTCCCCTCCCCGCTAGTTCATAGAGTCAGATACCAGACTCAAGGGGCGAGAACCTGCCCATTACACTAGGAAGGGGCTCCATCCAGGAGGCTTAGCTACAAAGCCATGTTCTCCAGTGTCGCTGTGCATAGCCTCACAGTGTGTCCCTACACTCAGAATCACAGGGAGCTCACCACCTCTCAAACAACATTTCCCACTAAACAGTTACATGGCCCTGGCTATGAGAAAGTTCGTTATAGCTGAGCTGTTATAACATGGTTCTCTGGGGTCCTAGTTCTGCAGTTGAGATGAAGTCCTGGGAGCATTCTTGGTGGCAGGTTAGCCCCAGGAGTCTGGGACTGCTCCCTTCCCATGACCAAGCCATTCATGGCCCCCTTGCCTGTGGGGGACTCATTGACTCCACTGAGGTGGGTACGCTCACCTGTTGGAGACATCTCAGTTGCAGGTTCACTGGTGAATTCTGCCTCTTTGGAAGAGGTAGATTTTGCTGCAAGGGAGAGAGGCTTTGTCATACTTCCCTTTATCTTTATCTCCCACCACTTCCTAAGTCCCAGGAGCTGGGATCTCTGGGATGAGTCTGCCAGTTTCTATGTGGGTATGGGCTAGAAGTCAAACCCTGCAGCTATGAAGGACAAAGTTAGACTTTCTACTGGAGCACGTTTAGGGTATGGACCTGTCTAATTCATTGCAGTGTCTGCAGTACTTAGCATAGTGCAGGACACTCAACAGTCATGTAGTAGATGTTTGTTGAATTATTATTGTTACTATTATTTTTTGAGACGGAGTTTTGCTCTTGTTGCCCAGGCTGGAGTACAAGGGTGCGATCTTGGCTCACTGCAACCTCCGCCTCCCAGGTTCAAGAGACTCTCCTGCCTCAGCCTTCCAAGTATCTGGGATTACAGGCATGCACCACCACGCCTGACTAATTTTGTATTTTTATTACAGACGGGGTTTCACCGTGTTGGTCAGGCTGGTCTTGAACTCCTGACTCAGGTGATCCACCTGCCTTGGCCTCCCAAAGTGCTGGGATTACAAGAGTGAACTACGGTGCCTGGCCAATGTTTGTTGAATTATTAATGATCTATACAGAGTTCTGTGGAAACCAGAATGGGGAGAAATTAACTCTGCTTGAGAGGAGGAGAAGGTTTTACAGAGGAAGGGCCATTTGTGCTGGGCCTTGAAGGATGAGTAGGAGTTTTCAGAGAAAAGGAGAAAGCATTCCAGGTAGAGGGAAAAACTTATGTAAAGACATGGAGGCTGTGAAGAACTGGCTTGTTCGGGACATGTAGAAAAATTCCTGTTGAATACCTGCTCCGCTCTCCCGACAAGTCCAAAACCAATTGTCTCACCTTTCACTTTCAGGCTGGTGCCCTGTCCAGACAGGTATTGCCTGTTGGGTTTCCTCTGAAACTTTACACAGTAATAGGTGCCTGCATCCTCACTGGAGACGTTTTGCAGAAGAATGCTGAAGTCATTGTTGGAGGCCTGCACCGCTGTCTCCTTGGGGTGGGAGATGCCTCCAAAGTTGTAAATGGCCTCCCGGCTCAGACCAGCTCCCTGGAACCACCTGATGGGTCCAGGGGGACCGTCTCCAAGCACTGTGCAGTTCAGAAAGACAGTGTCTCCAGTGGTCCCCAACACCAATTCCTGGGGCTGGATGATCCACAGGTCTGGTTCAGGGTCCCCAGCTCCTGAAGCCAAAGAGGAGGTCCTTGTTGAATTCCCTCTCCTCTTCCATCGTTCACTCATTTCCTACCTGGTGTTTTCCCTCCCTTCCTTCTTTCCAGATTTCTTCACTCAGCCACTCCTTCCTGCTTTCTTTATTACTCACCAGTTGACTCATTCAGTAAAAAAGCTCTGAGTACCTACTACATACCAATGGTAGGATTGGGGAACATGAAACTCAGGAAGACACAAGTGCCCGGCCCTGAAGCCATTCTCTGTCTTCCAGTGGAGATGGTCAAAAAATTGCCCAGAGGCGGAAACCCAGAAGATGGCAGGACTACAGAGGAGGCACCATCATAGCTCGGAAGAAGCCAGTGAAGCCTTCCTGAATCTGGCATCAAGTTAAAATGAACTCCCACGTACAGATACTCTCCATGTCACCAGTTTATGGGGTGTTTCCACAAGCATCCATTCTATTTAATCACCCGAATGACCCTTGAAGTACAAATTGTTTTGCCTGTTTTTCAAGCAAAGCACTTGAGGCATGTAGAGCCAGGGTAACTGACTTAAGAAGGAACTACTATTCAATGACAGGCCCAGGATTTGGGTATTCAGGTCACCATAGGTGGACTTACAGATGCCATGATTGAGTACTTGGGGAGTGTGGTAGATGACATGATCAGCCTCAGGTTTTGACTCTGTGCTTGTAATAGGGTACATCCACACTCTTACCTTTGGTGCATGGTGGAAGACTATTCTTCCTTGTCCCTTGACTTGGAGCTGAGCCATGTGACTTGCTTTAGCCAGTGGGCTGTTAGCAGACATAATGTGAGTAGATGCTTGAGGTGTACTTGAAGAGTTGGGACTGGGCTTCTGCTTCTGCCATCTTTATGAGAAAACATGCCCCACATAGTTGCTACCTCTCCAGCCTGGGCTCTGGCATGAGACATGAGGAGTGGAACCACCCAGCCACATGTAAATGTGCATGTAGAGATACAAATATGTATTGTTGTATGCCACTGAAATTTTGTGTGATACAGCATGATACAGTGGATAAAGGTGACTGTGCAGGGAAACAGACTGGAGCAAATGTGTGGTCTGCAGGGCCTGATCCTTACCCTTCACAAGCACTGAGGTGCCTTCATCCGATTTCATTTCTGAGTGTTCACTCAAACCATCAAACCTCACACAGTGGTAGGTTCCAGTGTGCTCCCTGGTGACATTGTGGATATAGATGGAATAATCACAATTCAGTGGTTCTGATGTCCGTTGGATCATGGGCATTACCCCAGGGAAGGAGCCACGTTTAAAGTTATAAATTTCCTGTTGGTCCTGAGTGCTCACCTTCACCCATTTTATCATACCATCAGTGCAGGAGCCGACCACCATACACCTCAGTAGAAGTGTCTCACCTTCTGCCACCAGCATGGGGCCCTCGGGCTGTAGCACCTGCCAGTCATTCCTGCTGCTCTGCCCAGAGGCATCTACAAAAGAGGAAGAAAGACCTTGCACTGGGCAGGAAGGACTTGGAGCCCTAAATGACAAGCTTAAAACAATCAAACCATTATCTGGCCAAGAACAATGGCCCAGGATAAGACAGGAGTGTCATTAGACAGGGAAGGGAAAGAGGGGATGAGATGGCTGGCTGCAGAGAGAGAACTGAGCTATGCAATGGCAAACCTACAAACAATAAATAACACTCAAGTGCTCACCGTGTGCTGGGCCCTGCGTGCATGATGTCACTTATTCTTCACAATGCTTCTGTAAGGTAAATGGCATCATTCCCATTTTTTGACAGAGGAAACTGAGGGTCCGGAAAGGTTAGGCAGCTGTCCCAGGATCATCGGCTAGGATTGTGTCTCCCGAATGCACATGTTGATGTCCTAACCTCCAGTTCCTCAGAATGTGATGTATTTGGAGATAGGGTCTTTAAGGAGGTAATTCAGTTAAAATGAGGTCATTGGGGTTGGGCCTTAATCTCACCCAACTGGTGTCCTTATAAGGAGAGGAAATTTAAACATACGCATGCAGGGGGAAGACCATGTGAAGATACAGGGAGAAGGTGGCCGTCTATAGGCTGAGGAGAGGCGCCTCAGACAAACCAGCCCTGCAGACATCTTGATCTCAGTTTCCAGCCTCCAGAATTGTGAGAAATTACATTTCTATTGTTCAAGCCGCCCAGGCCATGCTACTTTGTTATGGAAGCTCTGGCACACTCAGACATCACTCAGTAAGAGGGTGACAGGCTTGATTCAAGCCCTCTCAACCTGTTTCTGGAGCTCTGGCTATTAATCTTCAAATGCCACCCTTCAGAGACATAGGTTTGTGTGTTGCGGGGTTCAGTGTAAATACCCTTTCTGCCTCATGTGAATTATCAGCAGACTGCAGTTCGTGTTAATGTGTTATGAAGTGAGGCTATTTTGAAGATAGGTTGAACTGTTGAGTTTATCCTCAAAGTGGATACAGAGAAAGAGGGCTGAGGCCTCCCATGGATATTCTGGGTAACAAACATCATCACATGTATTCCTTCTAAGAATTCTGTGAGGTAGATGCTGTTATAATCTCAATTTTAAAAACTTCCCCATTTATTATTTATTTATTTTTTAATTTTTTTTGTAGTGATGGGGTCTCACTATGGTGCCCAGGCTGGTCTCAAACTCCTGTGCTCAAGTGATTCCTTCCCCTTGGCTTCCCAAAGTGCTGGGATTACAGGTGTGAGCCACCATGCCCAGCCTATAATCTCCATTTTCGAGATGAGAAAGAAAACGAATGCTCACAGTGGTAAAGAAACATGAGGTGAACCATGCATTCAGTAGATATCGTGTCCAGGATTTGAACTCAGATCAGGTGACTTAAGATTCTGCTCAACTCAAGGTCAGCAGCTTTGTACCCCGAGTTTCCTTTTTGTCTGTATTCCCATCAGCCTTTGTGAATAGCTCAGTCTCACTCCACACATTTGTTTGCAGTATATCATGGTGTTTCTCAGTTGTGAATGAGGCAAGGAGAGTAAGAAGGTGAAGCAAACATTTCCTTCTAAGAGGGTCTAGGAAAGACTTATGGAATTCTAAATTCTATTTCTACCTATCTTCAGCTAGGCATGTGCTGTTAACCACCAAGAATAACTTTCTCACAATTGTGACCAAGTGATAACCGCATGTTGAATCCTAGGGATTGCTTCTGTCCTTGATGTCCTTAGTTCCAAGAAATTCAGCGACATCCACTCTCAAACATTATTTGAGCTAGTCAGATCTGTTATCACTGATCCTTCCTGTTTTTTTCCCTGGCCTCAGGGAGTTTCCTCACACACACGTACAGGACTGTGCCCATCACTCAGCACAGGGCTAAGAATGGTGCCTGTTCCCACCAGCCAAACTGGTAAAACCCATGATTGTCAGGGCACTGGGGAAAGTCCACAGAAGAGAGATGCAGCCCAGAAAGAAGTGTTCTGGTCCACCCAACAAATCTTAAAAGCAAGGCCCCAAACTGATTTTAAAAAAAAATAACATTCTATTGTGAGGCTTCTAACACATGTATATGTAGAAGTTATGACATCGATAGAATAAAGACTGGGAGTGGAGAAATGTGAGTTTACTACTGTAAGTTTCTTTTTTTTCTGGTATCCATCACCTGAGTATTTATTATTTCTATGTGTTGGGTACATTGCAGGTCCTCTTTCCTAGCTGTTCTGAAAAACAATACATTGTTGTGAATTATAGTCACCCTACTCTGCTATCAAACATTAAAATTTGTTCCTTTTATCTAACTGTGTGTTTGTACCCATTCACCAACCTCACTCTTAACCCCTCTCCCTGAGACCCATCACCTTTCCTAGTCTTTGGTATCTATCATTATAGTTTCTACTTCCGTGAGATCATTTTTAGCACCTGCATAGTTGTCTTTCTGTGTCTGGCTCACTCCTTCCTTCCTTCCCTCCTTCCTTCCTTTCTTTCTTCCTTTCTTCCTTCCTTCCTTCCTTCCTCTCTCTCTTTCTCCTTCCCTCCCTCCCTCCCTCCCTTCCTTCTTTCCTTCTTTTTGGAGTGCAATGGCACTATCTCGGCTCACTGCAACCTCCGCCTCCCAGGTTCAAGCAGTTCTCCCACCTCAGCCTCCTGAGTACAGCTTACTTCACTTAACATAATAATCTCCAGTTCCATCCGTGTTGCTGTGAATGACTACATGATTTCATTATTTTTTTTTCACGGTTGAATAGTATTCCATTGTGGGTGTGCTTGGGGACACTATATATATGTATTTTTTTTATCAATTCATCCATTGATTGACGCTTAGATTGATTCCATACATTTGCAATTGTGAATATTGCTGCAATAAACGTAGAAATGCATGCACTCCTTTGATATATTGATTTCTTTTCCTGTAGATAAATACCTGTTCTAGGATTGCTGGATCATATGGCAGTTCTATTTTTAGATTTTTGAGAAATCTCCATACTGTTTTCCATAGTGGCTGTACTAATTTACATTCCCACCAATAGTGTATAAGAGTTCCCTTTTCTCCTCATCCTCATCATTTTTTT
This sequence comes from Homo sapiens, assembly GCF_000001405.40. NCBI lineage: Eukaryota > Metazoa > Chordata > Mammalia > Primates > Hominidae > Homo > Homo sapiens. Next base: position 1,483,116 of record NC_000020.11, read on the forward strand.
TTTTTTTTTGAGAGGGAGTCTTGCTCTGTCACCCAGGCTCGAGTGCAGTGGCACCATCTCAGCTCACTGCAACCTCCGCCTCCTGGGGTCAAGTGATTCTCCTGCCTCAGGCTCCTGAGTAGCTGGGATTACAGGCACATGACACTACACTTGGCTAATGTTTGTATTTTTAGTAGGGACAGAATTTCACCATGTTGGTCAGGCTGGTCTCGAACCCCTGACCTCAGGTGATCTGCCCACCTCAGCCTCCCATAGTGCTGGGATTACAGGCACGAGCCACAGCACCTGGCCTTTTTTTGGGTCTTTTTAACAATAGCCATTCTAACTGGGATAAGACGATATCTCATTATGGTTTTGATTTGCATTTCCCTGATGAGTGATGTTGAGCATATTTTTTCATATACCTCTAGGCCATTTGTATGTCTTCTTTGGGAAATGTTTATTCATTCCTTTCCTTTGCTCATTTTTAATTAGATTATTTATTTGTTTGTTTGCTTTTTTAACTGTTGAATTGTTTGAGTTCCTTGTATATTCCAGATATTAGTCCCTTGTCAAATGGGTACTTTGTGAATATTATCTCTCATTCAGGAGGTTGTCTCTTCACTCTTTTGATTATTTTTCTGCAGTGCAGAAGCTTTTTAGTTTAATATAGTCCCATTTGTCTTTTTTTTGCCTTTGTTGCCTGTCTTTCGAAGTCTTAGCCACAAAACCTTTGCCTAGAGCAATGTCTTGGAGTGTTTTCTGATTTCTTTGTATTGTTTTTCAGAATTATCTTGTATCTTACTGATCTTCCTTAGTATCGATATTTTGTGTTCTTTTTCTGGGATTTTGTAAATTTCTTCTTGATTGGGATGTGTATTGGTATAATAGACCAAGGGCATAGAATACATAGACCAATGGTATAATAGACCAATGGCACAGAATAGAAAACACAGAAATAAATCCATGTATTTACAGCCAATTGATTTTTGGCAAAGGTATCAAGAATACACATTCAATAAATGGTGCTGGAAAAACTGGATATCCATATGCAGAAGAATAAAGGTAGACTGCTATTTCTCACCATATACCAAAATCAACTAAAGATGAATTAAAGATCTAACTGTAGGACCTAAAACTATAAAAACTACTAGGAGAAAACAGGGAAGGGACTCCAGGACACTGGTATAGGTAAAGATTTTATGACTAAGACCTCAAAAGGGTCAGGCAACTAAGACAAAAATAGACAAATGGGACTATATTAAACTAAAAAGCTTCTTCATAACAAAAGCAACTATCAACACAGTGAAGAGACAAACTCTTGAATGAGAGAAAATATTTGCAAAGTACTCACCTGACAGGGGACTAATCTAATATCCAAAATATACAGGAAACTCAAACAACTCAACAGTTAAAAAAAATCTCATTAAAAAGTGGGCAAAGGACATGAATCAACATCTCTCAAAAGAAGACATACAAATGGCCAACAGGCACATGAAAAAATGCTCAACATTACTAATCATCGGGGAAATGCAAATCAAAACCACAATGAGATATCATCTTACCCCAGTTGGAACGACTGTTAAAAAGGCAACAATAAAAAAAAAAAACAAAATAAATAAACAAACCACCACAAATATATGCTGGTAAGGTTGCAAAGAAAAGGAAACTTTATACATGGTTGGTGGGAATGTAAATTAGTACAGCCACTATGAAAAACAGTATGGAGACTTCTCAACAAACTAAAAATAGAAATGCCATATCACCCAGCAATACCACTACTGGATGGCCAGTATGGAATACTATTTGGCTATAAAAACAAATGAAATTCTGTCATTCGTAGCAACATGAATGAAGATGGAGTTCATTATGTTAAGTGAAATAAGCCAGGCACAGAAAGACAAACATCACATGTTTTCACTCATACGTGGAAGCTAAAAAAATTGATCTCATGAAAGCAGAGGGTAGAATGATACCAGACGTGGGGAAAAGTGAGTGTAGGGAGAGGGGCATGAGAGAGATTTGTTAATGGGTACAAACATACAGTTAGATAGAAGGAATAAGATCCTGCCATTTGATATCAGAGTATGGTAACTGTAGTTAACAACAATGTATTGTAGATTTCAAAATAGCTTGAAGAGAGGACTTAAAATGTTCCTAACACAGATAAATGAAAAATACATGAGGTGATGGATATCCTAAATACTTTGACTCATTTATTACACATCCTATGCATGGAACAAAGTATTACATGAACCCCATAAATATGTACAAATGTTATGTATCGATTAAAAAAGAAAAATTGGAAAATATTTTGAACTGAAGGAAAATGAAAACATAATATAAAAATTTGCGGGATTCTGTTAAAGCAAGGGGAAGTTTGTAGTATTAAATGCCTATATTTGGAAAGAAGAAAGGACTCAAATAAATTACCCACTTTCCACCTTAAGAAACTAGAAAAAAAGGCCAATAAACTAAACTCAAAGTAGTGAAAGAAAGGAAATCATCAAGCTGGAAATGAAACTTAATACAGTAGAACACACACACACACACACACACCACACACACACACACACACAGAAAAAATCAATGAGAAGAAGAAAATCTTTGAGAAGATCACTAAAACTGATAAATCTCTAGTCAGATTGAACAGAGGGGACACACACAGAAAGAACCTAAATTATTAAAATAAGGAATAAGATTGGTGATACTACTACAGATTTTACTCTTATTAATAGAATAATAAAAGAATATTATGGAAAACTTCAAGTCATACATATTTGACAAATTAGGTAACATGAACAAATTCCTTGAAAAAGATACACTGCCAAAGCTTTCTCAAGAAGAAAAAGACAACCTGGTTAGCCCTATTATCTATTAAAAAGTTCAATCTGTTATTAAAAATCTTCCCAGAAATAAAGGTCCAATCCAAGAAAGTTTCATTTGTGAATTTTCCATATCTTTTTCTTTTCTTTTCTTTTCTTTTTTTTTTTTTTGAGACAGGGCCTCACTCTGTCACCCAGGCTGGAATATGGTGGCGTGATCTCAGCTCACTCCAACCTCTGCCTCCCAGGTTCAAGCGATTCTCCTGCCTCAGCCTCCTGAGTAGCTGAGATTACAGGCATGCACCACCATGCCCGGCTAATTTTTATATTTTTGGTAGAGGCAGGGTTTCGCCATGTTAGCCAGGCTGGTCTTGAACTCCTGGCCTCAAGTGATTCGCCTGCCTCAGCCTCCAAAACTGCTGGGATTGCAGGCATGAGTCACCATGCCCAGCCAAATTTTCCATATCTTTAAGAAAGAGATAATACCAATTTTATACAAATACTTTTAGAAAATTGAAAAAAGGAGCATACTTTTCTAATTATTCTATGAGTCCCAGTGTTATCTTGAAACCGAAGCCTTTTCCTTTCGAGAAAGGAAAATCAATATCTCTCATGAACATAGATAAAAAATTTTACACAAAATTTTAGTAAACCGAATTCAGCAATCAGCAATATTTAGAAAGTATAATACATTATAATCAAATTGAGCTTATCCCTGGAATATAAAGTTGGTTTAACATTCAAAAATCAATCAATGTAATTTACCATATTACTAAACTAACACACACACACACGCATATACATGCACTCATATAATCATCTCAACAGAATGCAGAAAAAGCAGTTTTCAAACTTGAACATGCATTCCTAATAATAACTCTCAGCAAACTGGGAAGACAAGGAAGGTTTTTCAAGTTGATAAGGGGCACCTGTGAAAACCCTACAACAACTCTATCAAGCTTAGTGGTGCAAAAATCAATGTTTTCCCTGCAGATCAGGAACTAGACAAAGATGCCTGTTTTTACTATTTCTATTCAATTTTGTAGGATAGGTACTAACTGTGAAAAAGGTAGTAGGAAATAAAAGACATCCAGATTTGAAAGAAAAAAGAAAACTGTCTTTATGTGCATATGACATAATTAAAATTTAAATGAAAATTTCTTAAAAAGGCTACTAGACCTAATAAATGAGCTTAGCAAGGTGGACGATAAAAGATCAATGTACAAAATTATATGTATTACTATACACTAGCAATAAACCACTTGAAATTGGAATTTTAAAATTTCCAGTCATCAATGTTATAAAAATAGAAAATATTTAGCCAAAAATGTAAAGGAACTGCAAACTGAAAATGTATAAGCCATTGCTAAGATAAAAAAAATCAAGCCTAAATAAATAGAGAGGTACACACTGTTCATATGTTGGAAGATTCAATATTGCTTAGATGTCAATTCTTCTCAAGTTGATATATAAACTCAATGCCATTCCCATTCAAATCCTAGCAGGCTTCACTTTAGCATTGATAAACTAAATCTAAAATTTATAGAATAGCCAAAACCATTTGAAAAAGAATAAAGTTAGAAAACTAATACCACCTGCTTTCAAGACTTAGATAATGTTACAGTAATCAAGACAATGTGGTATTGCACAAAGATAGATAAACATATCAGTGGAACTGAATAGAGAGTCTAGAAATAGTCCATGCAAATAGAGGCAACTGATTTTTTAAAAAGAGATGAGGTCTCGCTATGTTTTCCAGGCTGGAGTGCAGTGCTATTTTGGGTGTGATCGTCATAGCACACTGCAGCCTCAAACTGCTAGTCTCAAGCAATCCTCCTGAGTAGCTAGGAGTACAGGTGCATGCCATGGCTCCTAACTATAATTATTTGATATTTGACAAAGGTGCAAAGACAATTCAATGGAGAATGGGGAGTTTTTTCAACAATGGTGCAAGAACCATTGGAAATACATGTGCAAACAAATGAACTTTGGTTTATATCTCAAACTATATAAAAATTAACTCAAAATAGATCATATAACTAAACATAAAATGTTAAACGATACAACTTCTAGCTGCAAACATGGAAAAAAACTTTGTAACTTTGGGTTAGGCAAAGATTTCTTAGATGTAACACCAAAATCATGATCCATTAAAGACAAATTGATGAATTGGACTTCATAAAAATTAAGAACTCCTGCTGTTCGGAAAACACTTGTAAAAGAATAAAAAGACAAGTCACAGAGTAGGAGAAAAATCTTTGCAAAGCATATATCTGGCAAAATATTTGTATCCATAATATATAACGAACTCTCAAAACTCAATAATAAGAAACACACTTAAAAAATGAGAGTCGAATAGACACTTCACCAAAAAGGATGCATGATGTAAAAAATGTTCAGCATCATTACATATTAGGGAGTTAAAATCACAGTGAGAGGTTGGTAATCCTAGGACTTCGGGAGGCTGAGGCAGGCGGATCACTGGATCCCAGGAGTTCAAGACCAGCCTGGGCAATATGGTGAAATTTTGTCTCTACCAAAACAAAAAAACTAACCAACCAACCAGACAACCACAAAAATTAGCTGGGTGTAGTGATGTGCGCTTGTAGTCACAGTTATTTGGTAGGCTAAGGTGGGAGGATCGCTTGAGCCAGGGAGATGGAGGTTGCAGTGAGCTGAGATCAAGCCATTGCACTCCAGCCTGGGCAACAGAGTGAGACCCTGTCTCAAAAAAAAAAAATCACAGTAAGATATTACTATGTACCCATTAGAATGACTAAAATTAAAAAGATTGACCATAATAAGTGTTGGTGAGGAGGTGTAGGAACTGCCATCCTCCTACATTGCTGATGAGAATGTAAAATGGTACAACTCCTTTGAAAAACACTTTGGCAGTGTCTGAAAAAGTTAAACGTATGGCAACCATATGATCCATTTTATTCTCAGATATTTCCCTAAGAGAAATGAAAGTATATATCCACACAAAGACTTGTACATGAATATTCATAGATGCTTTATTTATAATAGCCCTAAACTGCAAACAACCCAAATGTCTGTCTACAGGTGAATGGGAAAGGGTTTATCCATACAATGGATAGACATGAGAAGAAATGAACTATTGACATATGCAACAACATGAATGAATCTCAAAATAATTATGCGGAGTAAAAGAAGCCAGCCAAAAAGGAGTATAACTGTGTGATCCTTATTATATACAATTCTAGAAAATGCAAACTATAGTGACAGAATACAGATCCGTGGTTGTTTTGGAGACAAGGAGGAGTGGCAAGGACGAATCACAAGGAAACTTTTGGGCGCTGGATATGTTCATGATGCTGATTTTGGTGATGATTTCACAAGTGTGAAATACACCCAGCACTCACAAAAAAAACTTATCAAATTGTGTACTTTACATATGTACGGTTTAATATATGTCACTTACACTTCAATAGAGCTGTTAAAAATAAATTATTTGTAAAGATGAAGCCTGCGTGTGTGAGGAGAAAGAAGCAATGGAGGAGAGGAAGAAGGAAGCACTCAGAAAGTCTTATCTCAGCTAGGGGTGAGTCTGGGGAAGTGAACACCAGGGAAGAAGCTGGAGCCTGGACTCAGTCCTGGTGCCCACACCCCTTCCCTCCCTCTCCCCTTCTGAGTCCCCTTCTGTGTTGTCACTTGGGCTTTAGGAGGTGTCCTAGGAGGTTTGCCTCTGCCTTGTCAGTGGAGCTGGACCTTCTCATCTATTTTCCATCTGCATCCTCTGCCTTTCATGGTTCCTGTATGGGGCTCCCTTTAAAAGCCTTATAGAAAATGTGTTAGCCCCAGTCTCCTCTACTGCAAAATAGGGGCACTCATATTTTTCTCGGGGCTGCTGTGAGTATTAAATAGAGAAGTGGTGAGGCTCAATCCTGGGCCAGCTACGTAATTTGTGAGGCCAAGTGCAAAACGGGAATGCAGGTCCCTTGTTCAAAAACTATTGAGCAACACAGCAGAACATTAAACCAAGCATGGGGCCCTTCTAAGCAGGAGGCTCTGTGCCACTATATAGAGGGCACACCCAAGAACCAGCCCTGACTCAGCTTGAGATGCAGCTGGACTCAAACATTCCAACTGACTGGTTTAAGCAACTTCTCTTATTTTCCATCTATTCTATTGCAACAATCATTGGGAATATTTTTTATTCTGAGTAGTTTAGATTTCTGATTTCCTAGTCTAGTGCCTAAAACATAGCAGACACTCAAAAGTACCTGTGGAATGAGACCTAGCAATTATGATTCACATCTTAGAATTGAGGAAATCAGCTTAGAGAATTGAAGTGGTGTCTTGAGTCATACGGCCAATGAGTAAGGGAGCACCTAGGTCCGACCCCACACCTGGGTTCTGCCAGGATCTCTCCTGGGGATGGCCACCCCGGAGGACCAAAGATGTCATGGACAGAATCTAGATCTCAGTAGAGCCTGGAGCAGAGGCCCAGATGGGCAGGAGATGGAATGAGCCCACTGAGAGCCAAGTATCCCTGCCTGGTAGATCAGAGAGTTCTGGACTCAGAGGCTGAGCTATATATTCAGGGGTCTCAAGACTCTGGAGCTAACCTGGCCTGCCCCTGAGTTAGAGGAAACATGGGAATGATAATAATAATCGCCAAGAGTTATCAAATCTTTGTTATGCCAGGCACTTATGGGTATTATCTTGTTAAATTCTCCTAAGAAAGTCCCAAGGTGGGTCCTATTTTTAGCTCCATTTTACAGTTGGAAAAACTGAGGCTCAGAAAGAAATTACTTAAACTGGTTAGTGGTGAGGTTTGAGCCTACTGCGTCTTAAGCTGAGCCAGGGCTGGTTCATGGCTGTGCCATCTATGTAGTCGCACAGGGCCCTGTGCTTAGAAGGAGCCCATGCTTGGTTTACTGCTCTGCTGTGTTGCTCAATACTTTTTGAACAAAAGACCGCAGTTTTCATTTTGCAGTGGGTCTCATAAACTATGCAGCCGGCCCAGGGCTGAGCCTCACCACTTTTCTATTTAATACTCACAGTAGCCCTAGAGAAAGGTCCCATGAGCGTCCCTGTTTTGTAGAAGAGGCTCCTGGGGCTAAAAGAGCTGCAGCATCTGACGTGGGCATAGGAGCAATCAAGCTGGAAGCCAGTGGGTGTGAGCGCAGAGCCTGGGAGCTTATCACTTCACTACGCTGCTTCTTGGGACACTGGGGGTGCCCTCTGCCGGAGTCAGGCAAATTTTCAGTGGACCCCTCTTTACTCTATCTTCATGGGGTCAAGCTTCTTCAGGCATGGCAGAGCACTTAGTGCCCCTCTAGGGACTGACCAGCCGGGGGTGGACCCTGTTCTATCCTAGACCCCACTTACCTGAGGGGACAAGGACCAGTGCCAGCAGCAGGAAGCAGGGAGGCAAGTGGGCCAGGCAGGTGGGGGCCGACATCGTGGAGCACATGGCATCTTCTGTGGTCCCCAAGACTTGGGGCTCCTCTGCTCTCTTGTGAGTGTTGGAGTCTGAGGCGGGGCCCGTGGACAAGGCAGTTTCTGCGTCTCTTGGCCACAGCTGCTTGGGGAAGTGTTTTCATTGCAGCAACACAAGGCTGTTGGTGCAATAGGAAGGAGCCCGGTCAAAGGGTTTCCTGCTTTTGTGTCTGGGCTGTGATTCCTGTAGTCACTGTGCTAAAACCTTGCCATAGGCTCCATCCTAGGTGCCCGGGAGGGAGGTGGGCACTGAGGTCATAGGACGCACTCCAGAATCGGGTGGAATTTGGAGCAAACATTGGATCTTCCTCTTCTTGGCTGTGCAAGATTTCAAAGTCACTTCCCATTTCTGAGCCTTTTGTTTCTTCATCTGCAGCGTAGGAACAACGGCAGTTCCCTCCTCAGAACAGTTTTGGTAAGATTATGAGAAATAATGTGAGGGCACAGAACAATGTAAATGCTAAACATATTAACCATTATTATTCATGATGTGCAGAAAGTAGAGGAGGTGACATTGCTTAAGAAGAAGGATTTATTATAAAGCAAGCCCCATGGGGGCCTCCTTTTAGCACTGCAGGGAGGGTACAGGCCTAATTCCTAAAAGTATAATCATGTGTAACTCTCTCAGCCTCTGTTTCCTGGGGTCCAAGTGAAACATACTCAGATTGTGCAAACATTTGCGTTTGTGGCATCTTTGTTTCCTGTAAGTGATCTGAACTTCCTCAGGAGCCTCCTGGTGCTGGCTATCAAGAAGGAAAAGCTTAATCTTGCCAATTCATGCAATCCAGGCAATCTCTTTAGCCACACTGTCTGGGTTCAAATCTTGGCTTTACTCAGTCTGGCTGTGTGACCTTAGGACAATCATTTGACCACTTTATGCCTCGGTTTCCTCATCTGTAAAACAGGAATAAAAATGTGGTAGCATGTGTGGGGTGGAGTAAGCACTCTATAGGCTTTCACCATTGTCTTTTAGGTTAACTCAGTCTTTTAATTAACTCAGGGAAAAGTACAAGAACAACTCAGCCTTTCATTATTTCACTTCCTCCCTCATGCTTCAGAAGGTTCTGGGTGCAGAGGAAGCTGAAGATTCTCCAGCAACAGGGTGGCAGGCCTTGGATCTGAGTATGTCCCCTGGGTCCCAGAGGTCTGGTGTCTACTATGAGGAGGTTAGTCTGGCCTGGTCCCCAAGGACTTTGCACTGGGTCTGTGACTGGTCTTTTCTAGACTTTTGAGGCCTTGCATTGATACCCCTGCTCAATTCCATTACTCCCTCTACTTGTTCTCCTGTCAATGAGATCTATATAGTGAAACTTCTTTGAAAGGGCCACAAGCCTAGATGATTCCACCAGACCCTCAGTACTTTCCATGTCATTCTTACACGGGAATTTCTGAATCACCTGCTCATCTATGCAGATTTCTTTCTCAGCTATTGTTTTTTTCTAAAGTTTTACTTACAAATAATTTTATTTTAATAGGCAAGGCATTGTATTGGTTAGCTATTGCTGCATAACAAAGCACCCCAAAATTTAGAAGCTTAAAAACTAAATGTTCAGTTAATTTACTATTTTGTGGGTTGACAATTCAGTCAGGGCTCCATTTGGTGGTTCGGTCTTCTCATCTCAGCAGATTTTGGCTGGGAATGTTCATGCACTTGAGGTCAGCTGCAGGTTGGCTAGGTGGCTTTGTTACTGCGGTTGACTGATTGTTAACCCAGGTACCTCAGCTGTCCTCTATGTGGTCTCTCATCTTCCAGGACACTAACTTAGTCTTGTTCTCATGAAAGGGGCAGTTTTGAGAGACAGTGCAAGGTACAAGGAAACTTCTGCCATATTCTTTTGGCCACATCAAGTTACAAGACCAGACAAGATTCAAGGAATGGAAAATAGACTTTGCCTCTTGTTAGGGAACTGCAAAGCCTAATTGCAAAAGGTGTGGATACAAAGAGGGGGTATAGAATTGTGGATATTTTTGTGATTTATCTGCCATGGGCATCTACAGGTACAAAATTCAGAGGTCTCAGTGTCTCATTTATAGGGCTCCCAGACATTACTTTCCTTAGGGTTAACCACAGTCACCAGTTTTTGAAGACATTCATTTCCTTTACTGTTTCTGATCTAGTGCTCAGAAGCCAGGTTGAATATGGTTTCTTTGTGATGTCGTGGACTATGAACACCCTGGGAAGACAGGCCATGATCCCTTATGCTGTAGGAATCCCTAAACTCCATTCCCACCCCACCCCAGCATTTGGACCTCAGGACTGTGGGGTTGGCAGGACTCTAGCATCTCAACCCCTGTCTTCTCCCTCTTTTTCTTACTTCCTCACCAAGTCATAAGGGGAGGAGTTCCCCTTCTTTTCCTTCTGGTAGGGACTTTCCTAATCTCAGTCTTCTTCCTAACAGCTGGCCTTCTTTGTTCTAGATGGAATCCCTCCTGCCCCTTCCTCAAGACAGCAAGTCTCACACTCCAGCTTAGAATAGGAAAAAAGCTTCCAGGGAAGGAATTAAACTGCTGGGAGGTGGAGAAATGCAAAAGGAAATAGTTAAAAATGTTATATCTGTCACGTCATCTATAAAACACATGAAATGCGATTGCGCGTGAAGCACTGGCTTGCGATAATTGCTCAGTAACTAGGAACAGTGGCATTCCTCCTGGTCAGTGTGCTTGGGTATCACATGAACTATAGTGTCTATTACTAGCCTGAGTTAAGTTATCCTCAACAAGAGCACCCGAGGTATATATAGAACACAAGTCTACCCATAAAGCTTTTTTTCCTTCCACTACAAAAATGGAACTTTGTTAAAACAACAGCTTTTTGATTGTTTACCATAAAATGGAAAACATACTAAGCAAGCACAGGGAAAGCGTTCAACCTTAGCAGCAATCAAGTAAATACCAGTCTTAAAAAGAGCAACACTGGTGTCTTTGCAATCAGCATCTATCTCCACTTTTTCTATGCTCTCCTCTTTTTTTGGAGGTTCTAAAAGCCTAAGAACTGCATTTTCTGTAACTCTTTACCATCATTATTCTAGGAGAGAATAATGAACCAAGGAGAGGTTCTTGCTTAGATTTGGAAGGTAAAAGGAGAGGCATGCTTGCTTCTCTAGCCATGAAGAGGGGGCAGATACGTGAGAATTGGTGGATTTAATTTATGCAAATGTGAGGTTTTGCAGTGCTGCCTGTCTTCTATAAATCACCTCTAAAGCACAGGCAGCTGGCATCATTAGCAGCAGTTTCTGTGAGTCTCTCAGATTCCTGATTTTCCAAGAGCTACCAGTGAACTTGAGAGATAAAGCAGTGAGGATTTCCGATGGTCTGTAAACACCAAATGCCACAAGTCCCATGAGAACCAAGCATGGCTTTTTATGACCGAACACAAAAGTCATCCAGCCTCATTTCTTCTCTTTTCATTTAGGAGGAAGCATTTAGTGTCTCAATACTAAAGTCTCTAAGGTCCTCGAACTTGATTTTCTGCTATTGGCAATTTGTCCTGCCTTGTGGCTTGGTTTGCCTTTCTTACTCCCTTTTCCTGTTTCATGTCAAATCCCATGGCTTGCTTTTTGGTGTTTTTGTTTTAAATTTTTATGGAGTTCTGACTTACATACAGAAAAAGGCACAAACATTTAAATGTGCAGTTCAGTGAATTTTTAGACTTTTACATCCATATACATCTGTGTAATAACCACCCCAAGATGTAGAAAGTTCCTTCTTGTTTCATTCCATTCAATCTCTGGCCCCAGAGGCAGCCACCTCTGATTTCTATCACCATAGATTAGTTTTGCCTGTTTTTGGAGTCTTTAGGTTTTTCCAAATATAAGAGCATATCATCTGCAAACAAGGATAATCTGACTTCTTCCTTTACAATTTGGATGCCATTTTTTTCTTTCTCTTCTCTGATTGCTGTAGCTAGGACTTCCATTACTACACTGAATAACAGTGGTGAAAATGGGCATCCTTGTCATGCTCCAGGTCTTAGAGGATAGGCTTTCAGTCTCCCTCATTCAGTACGATACTAGCTGTGCGTTTGTCATATATGGGTTGTACTATGTTGAGGTATAGTCCTCCTAAATCCAGTTTTTTTGAGGATTTTTTTATCATGAAGGGATGTTACATTTTATCAAATGCTTTTTCAGCATCAATTGAAATGGTCATATGGTTTTTGTCCTTCATTCTGTTGATATGATGTATCACATTTATTGATTTGTGTATGGTGAACTATCCTTGATGCTTGCATCCCAGGAATAAATCCCACTTGGTCATGATGAATGAGCTTTTTAATGTATTGTTGAATTCAGTTTACTAATATTTTGTTGGGATTTTTTGCAACAATATTCATTAGAGATATTGGTCTGCAGTTTTCCTTTTTCTATGTGTTTTTATGTGGTTTTGGCATCAGGGTAATACCGGTCTCATAGAATGAGTTTGGAAGTATTCGCTCCTCCTCTATTTTTTGGAATAGTTTGAGTAGGATTGGTAATAGTTCTTCTTTAAATGATTGGTAAAATTCAGCAGTGAAGCCACTGTTTCTTTACTGGGAGACTTTTTATTATAGCTTCAATCTCGTTACTTAATACTGGTCTGTTCAGGTTTTGGATTTCTTCATGGTTCAATCTTGGTAGGTTGTATGTGTCTAGGAATTTGTTTATTCTTTCTAGATTTTCCAATTTATTGGCATAAAGTTGCTCCTAATGATGCTTGGAATTTCTGCAGTATCAGTTGTGATGTCTCTTTTTTCATTGCTGATTTTATTTGGATCTTCTTGCTTTTTTTCTTAGTCTGGCTAAAGGTTTGTAAATTTTGTTTAACTTTTCAAAAAGCCAACTTTTTGTTTCATTGATCCTTTGTGTTGTTTTATTTCCATTTCATTGATTTCTGTTGTGATTTTTTTTTTTTTTTTGAGGCGGAGTCTCTCTCAGTTGCCCAGGCTGGAGTCCAGTGGCATGATCTCGGCTCACTGCAACCTCCGCCTCCTGGGTTCAAGTGATTCTCCTGCCTCAGCCTCCCGAGTAGCTGGGATTACAGGCACCCACCACCACGTCCAGCTAATTTTTGTATTTTTAGTAGAGATGGTGTTTCACCATGTTGGCCAGGCTTGTCTCAAACTCCTGACCTCAGATAATCTGCTCGCCTTGGCCTCCCAAAGTGCTGGGACTACAGGTGTGAGCCACCACGCCTGACCTCTGCTGTGATCTTTATTATTTCTTTTCTTCTACTAATTTTGGATTTGGTTTGCTCTTTCTTTTTCAGTTAAGATGCATCATTAGGTTGTTTATTTGAAGTTTTTCTTCTTTTTTGATGTAGGCACTAATGGCTATAAACTTTAATACTGCTTTTGCTATATCAAGTTTTTGTATGTTGTGTTTCCATTATCATTTCTTTCAATATATTTTTCAATTTCTTTCTTACTTTCTTCATTGACCCACTGGTTATTCTGGAGCATATTATTTAACTTCCAAGTATTTGTATAGTTTCCTAAATTCCTCTGTTATTAACTTCTAGTTTTACTCCATTGTGGTCAGAGAAGATACTTGATATTATTTCAATTTTTTGAATGTTTTAAGACTTGTTTTGTGACCTAATATGTCTATTCTTGAGAATGACCCATGTGCTGAGAAAAAAAGAGTATTCTGCAGCTGTTGGATAAAATGTTCTGTAAATATCTGTTAGATCCATTGGATCTATAGTGTACATTATGTCCGATGTTTCGTTGCTGATTTTTTGTCTGGAAGATCTGTCCAGTGCTGAAAGTGGGGTTTTCACATCTTCAACTATTGTTGCACTGGGCCTTTCTCTCTCTTTAGCTTTAGTAATATTTGCTTTATATATCTGGGTGCTCCAGTGTTGGGTGCATATGCATTTAAAATTGTTATATCTTCTTGTTGTATTGACCCCTTTATCATCACATAGTGAGCTTTGTCTTTTCAGTCTACACGTGTCTTTAGAGGTGAAATGGATTTCTTGTAGGCAACAAATCATTGGGCTTTTTTTTTTTTTTTTTTTTTTTTTTTTTTTTTTAGGTGTTATCTCACTCTGTCACCCAGGCTGGAGTACAGTGGCATGATCTTGAATCACTGCAACCTCCGCCTCCCGGGTTCAAGCAATTCTCCCGCCTCAGCCTCCTGAGTAGCTGGGATTACAGGCGCCTGCCACCACGCCTGGCCAAAAGTGCTGGGATTACAGGTATGAGTCACTGTGCCTGGCAGGCCTTTTTTTTTTTTTTTAAATCCATTAAGCCACTCTGTGTCTTTTGACTGGAGAGTTTTTAGTCCATTTACATTCAATGTTATTGATAAGTAAGGACTTACTCCTGCCATTTTGTTATTTGTTTTTTGGTTGTTTTGTAGTTTTCTCTTTCTTCTTTCTTTCCTTCCTGTCTTTTTTTTTTGTGGGTGAAGATGAGCTTTTCTGGTTATATGGTTTAGTTTCTTAATTTTTATTTTTTGTGTATCTGTTGTATATTTTTTGGTTTGAGGTTTCCACGAGGCTTGCAAATACTATTTTGTAACCCATTTTAAAGCTATAACAGCATTGTTTGCATAAACAAACAGAAAGAAAATTAATCAAGACTTTATGCCTTAACTTCTCCCCACCCCATTTTTAACTTTTTGTTGCTTCTAACTACATTTATTGTACCATGTCTTGAAAAGTTTTTGTAGTTATTATTTTTGATTGGTTCACCATTTAGTCTTTCTATTAATATCAGAGTAGCATATATACCACAGTTACAGTGTTACAATATTCAGTATTTTTCTGTGTACTTACTATTACCACCGGGTTTTATACCTTCAGATGATTCCTCATTGCTCATTAACATTCTTTTTTTTTTCTGATTGAAGTACTCCTTTAACATTTCTTGTAGGATGGGTGTGGTGTTGATGAATTCCCTCAGCTTCTGCTTGTCTGGGAAAGTCTTTATTTCTCCTTCATATTTGAAGGATATTTTCACCAGATGTACTATTCTACAGTAAAAGCTTTTTTTCCTTCAGCACTTTAAATATGTCATGCCACTGTCTCCTAGCCTGTTAGATTTCCCCTGAAAAATCTGCTGCCAGATGTATTGGTGGTCTATTGAATGTCATTTTTTCTTTTCTCTTGCTGCTTTTAGGATCCTTTCTTTACCTTTAGATAAAGTTTGATTATTAAGTGTCTTTGGGAGTTTGATTATTAAATGATTATTAAGAGAAGACTTGAGGTATTCTTCTTTGGGTTAAATCTTCTTGGTGTTCTATAACCTTCTTGTACTTGGATATTGATATCTTTCTCTAGGTTTGGGGTGTTCTCTCTTATTATCCCTTTGAAAAAACTTTCGACCCCATCTCCTTCTCTACCTCCTCTTTAAGGCCAATAACTCTTAGATTTGCCTTTTGGAGGCTATTTTCTAGAGCATGTAGGAATGCTATATTGTTTTTCATTCTTTTTTTGTCTCTTCTGACTGTGTATTTTCAAATAATCTGTCCTCAGGCTCACTAATTCTTTCTTCTACTTGATCAATTCTGCTATTAAAAGACACTGATGCATTCTTCAATATGCTAATGGCATTTTTCACCTCCAGATTTCCGCTTGATTCTTTTTAACTATTTCAGTCTCTTTGTTAAATTTATTGATATAATTCTGAACTCCTTCTCTGTGTTGTCTTGAATTTCTTTGAGTTTCCCCAAAACAGCTATTTTGAATTATCTGTCTGAAAGGTCACATATCTCCTTTCTCCAGGATGGGTCCCAGGTTTCTTATTTAGTTCATTTGGTGAGGTCATGTTTTCTTGGATGGTGTTGATGCTTGTAAATGCATCTTCGGTGTCTGGGCATTAAAGAGTTAGGTATTTATTGCAGTCTTCTTAGTCTGAGCTTGTTTGTATCCATCCTTCTTGGGAAGGCTTTCCAGATATTAAAAAAGACTTGGTGTTGTAATTGCATCTATTTCTGCTTTAAGAGGCACTCCAAGCCCAGTAACACTCTGGTTCTTGCAGACCAATAGAGATACTTTCTTGATAACTTCTTTTGGACAAGATCCAAAAGAGTTCTCTGGATTACCAGGCAGAGACTCTTGTTCTCTTCCCTTATTTTCTCCCAAATGAATGGTGTCTCTCTATCTGTTTTGGGTCACCCGGAGCTGGGAGTGGAGTGAAACAGCAGCCTGTGGCCACCACCGCTAGGACTGTGCTGGGTCAGACTTGAAGCCAGAACAGTACTGAGTCCCAAGGCCTGCTGTAACCACTCCCTAGCTGTGGCCTATGTTCACTCAATGCCTTGGGGCTCTATAATCAGAAGGTGGCAAAGCCAGCCAGACCTGTGTTCTTTCTTTCAGGATGGCAAGTTCCCCTCAGGCTCTGGGCATGTCCAGAGGTGCCATCTGGGAGCCAAGAACTAGAGTAAAAAGCCTTAGAAATCTATCTGGCATTCTATCGTACTGTGGCTGAGCTGGCACTCAAACTACAAGATCCAGTTCTTCCCACTCTTTTCTCTTTTCCAAATGCAGAGGAGTCTCACCCCATGACCAACACCACCACAAGCCTATAGGGAGTATTGCCAGACTACCGCCAATGTTCCTTTAAGGCCCAAGGGCTCTTCAGTCAGCTTGTGGTGAATGCTGCCTGGCCCGGAACTCACCCTTCAGGGCAGTGGGCTTCCCTCTGGCCCAGGATAGGTCTAGAAATGCTATTCACCAGCAAAGTCCTGGAACTGGGGACCCCAAAAAACCACTTAATGCTCCACCCCACTGTGGCTGTGCTGGTACCTAACGTGCAAGACAAAGTCCTTCATATTTTTTCCCTCTGTTTTTCTCAAGTGGAAGGAGCCTTGCCTCATAGCCACCACGACTGAGTGGTGAGTCATGTGCTGAGTCTCACCTGAACCAGAAAGTCTCACCCAAGTCCCTCAACGTAGTACCCGGGTATTGCTGCTGGTTATTCAGGGCACAATGTCTCTTTAGTTAGCAGGTGATGAATGCTTCCAGGAGTGGGATCTTTCCTTCAAGGCAGTGGGTTCCCTTGTGGCCCAGAGTGTGTCAAGAAATATCATCCTGGAGCTAGGACCTGAAAAGGGGCCTCACGGTGCCCTATCCTGCTGTGGTTGAGCTGATATCCATGTGGGATATGATGAGGTTTCTCTTCAAATAGCCTGATCAATCCTTTATTCTTTAATTCATAGTACCTCCCCACCCCTTTTTCACTTTTCTCTTTTTTCTTCCTTTCTGTCTTTGTCACATGCCCAGACACGCCACAGTACCAGGTGTTATCAGTACCAGCTCACATTCCTTTCCTTATTTGGCAAGAAGACTTGCTCTCTAGCTCACTGCAGACACCCCTTCCCCTTTCGCCTCTCTTCCTTACATACCCTCCTTATCCGAAAAAAAGTTCAAATGTTTAGCCAACCAGGGTTAATTTAGATTGTACTGCCTGACCATGGCCAATGGGGAAAGGGTACAGGGGCAGGACTTGCTTCAGGAATAAAGGCTCTTGTTCAAGTGTGCTCTCATGGTGACTGGCCAAGGAGAAGCACCCCTCTGTGCAGAAGTAAAATTGCTTTGCTAAGAATCCTTGTTTGAGTGTTCAATTTCCTTAGGATTTTGAGCATTATTCCCAACATCCAAGATGCAAGACAAAGTCCTCCTCATTCTTCCCTCTCCTCTCCTCAAGTGGAGGGAAGAGGCCTCTTTCGTGAGCTGTGCAGCCTGGGGTTAGGGGAAGGGTGATGCCAGCACCTTCTTAGCTGCCCTGGCTTGTGTCTCAGTAGGTTGCATGTTCCCTCAGTCCACTGTCTCTGGGCCCAGTTCAGCACTAGAACTTGCCTAGGAGTTGTAGCTCTTGGAGCCTAGACTGCCTTTCAAGTTTATTTAGAGCCCCAGAGTACTTTAGCCCACAGTGGTAAGGCTTGCAGGAACTGAAGTTCAGACCACTGAGATTGGATTAGCAATTCCCCTCTGGCTAAGGCTGTTTAAATGCTCCCTCTTTGGGTGGGTAACAGCTGAGTTTGGTCCCATTTTGTTTTCTTTTATAATAGGGCAGCACTGAGTTCAATGCTTCACAACTGCTGTGATCTCCCTTTCCCCAGTGCACAGAAATGCTCTCCACACCATGCTGCCACTGCCAGGGGTTAGGAGAGGGGTGGTGTTGGCTATTCAAGACTTTTTTTCTACCTCTTCGGTGCCTCTTTCAGTGATATGAAGTAAAACCAGGTATTGTAACTGCTCATTTGATTTTTAGTTCTTATGAAGGCTCTTTTATTTGTGTGTACACAGTTGTTAAATTAGTGTCCTTCCTGGGGGAGATGATTGCTGGAGGCTTCTATTCCATCATCTTGCTCTGTTGTTTTTATGTTTTCTCATTTATCTCTTTTAACTGAGGTATTTATTTGCCTTTAAAGTAATTACTGACATGGAAGGACTTACTATTTTCGTTTTGTTACTTGTCTATATATATGGATAATACATTCAATATATTTTAATATGTCTTGTCCAGTGGTTTTTGCTCCTTTTCTCCTTTGCTGCCTTCTTGTATGTTTTGTACTGACATATTTTGATTCTCTTTTCAATTCTGTTTGTGTATACAGACAGTACCTGAATGTAAGCCCAGCATAAGATAAAAAGTTCCTATGATTTACAATGGGGTTATGGTTTCTACTAAATGTGTATTATTTTGCATAATTGTAGAGTTGAAAATTTGTAAGTTGAACATAAGTCAGGGACAGTATGCTGTGTTGCCAGCATCAAATGCAATTTTGACTTACAATATTTTTGACTTCTGATGGGTTTATTCTTATGTTATCCCATCATAAGTTGAAGAGCATTGGTATTCTATTCATATTTTATTTGTCATCACCATTGCAACTACACAAAGAGACTTAAAGTTATAGCAAGATATTTTAAACCGATAACAACTTAACTTAAATTGCATATAAAAACTCTACTTCTTTACTTCTCTGCCCTCTTTATGTTACTGTAACAAAACAAATTACCTCTTTTTATATTGTGTATTCATCAACATAGATTTTTAGTTACTTCCCATGCTTTCGCTTTTAAAATTCTATACCAAATTCAAAAGTGATTTATACAGCTATGTTACAATACTTCCAGATTTTATATTTGTCTCTATGTTTATGTTTACCTGGTAGATTTATACTTTTGTATGGCTTTGTGTTGCCATTCATCATCTTTTCATTTCAACTTGAAGGATTCCTTTCAGCACTTCTTTCAGGGCAGGTCTAATGGTGATGAATTCCCTCAGTTTTGTTTATCCAGGAAAGTCTTCATTTCCCCTTCATTTTGAAGGCAGTTTAGTACTATATAGTATTCTTTGTTGGCAGTTATTTTTTCTCTCATCACATCCCACTCCTTCTAGCCTACAAGGGTTCTGTTGAGACTTTAGCTGATGATTTAATAGGAGCTCCTTTGTATGTGACAAGTTGCTTTTCTCTTGCTGCTTTCAAGATTCACTCTTTGTCATTTTTTTTTTAAAACAAAGTTTCCCTCTGTCACCCAGGCTGGAGTGCAGTGGCGTGATCACATCTTGCTGTAGCCACAAATTCCTGGGCTCAAGTGATCCTCCCACTTCAGCCTCTTTTCTATTTTTGACAGTTTAATTGTGTCTTAGTGTAAATGCTGTTAGATTCGTCCTGGTTGGAGCTTGTTGAGCTTTTTGAATTTGTATGTCTACTTTTTCCCTCAGATTAGAAAAATTTCCAGCCATCATTTTTTTTAAAAGTCTCTGTGGTGCCTTCTCTTTTTCTTGTCTGTCTTAGATTCTCATAGTGTGTAGGTTGTTCCATAATGTTACACATAGTGTCCCATAAGTTTCTTATGCTCCTTTTACTTTTCTTAGTTCTTTTTTTCTCCTTTGCTTCAGTAATTTCAAAACTCCTGTCTTTGAATTTGCTGATTCTTTCTTCTCTTGGTAACATCTGTTCCTAAGCCCCTCTAGTGGATTTTTAAATTTAGTTATTGTATTCTGCAGTTCCAGAATTTCTGTGTGGTTCTTCTTCATAGCTTCTATCTCTTTTTTGATATTTTCTTTTTGTTCATCCATTGTTTTCCTGATTTCATTTAGTTGTCTGTCTGTACTCTCTTTTAATTCATTGAAAATTCTTATGATTATTATTTTGCATTTTTTTGGTCAGATAATTCGTGTATTTTTTTGGGGTCAGTTTCTAGAGATGTAATGTGTTTCTTTGAATAGGCCATGTTTTCCTGTCCCTTTATATGTCTTCTTATCTTCTCTTGGTACTTTGGCATTTGAAAACTCAGCTACCCCGTGCAGTCTTTGTGGTCTGGTTTTCTACAGGGAGGACTTTCTCCAATCAGCCTGGCTAGAGAATCTGGAGACCTGTCAACCCTTCTCTGGGAATGCACCCTTTTGGGACTTAGTGTGTAATCACGTAACGGAAGAGGTCTTTCTATTGAAGCGCTCCCTCTAGTGTCTGCCTATGATGCTGCGGTCTGGCTGGTGCTGCAGTAAGCCACGGTACTGAAGTTCCACCTAGTTTCTGTCTGTGATACTGCAGACTGATGCTAGAACAAACTAATAGCTCCACCTATTATTTATCTGTGATACTGCATATTTTGGTGCTAGACCAAGTCATGTTGATCATCTTCGTTTTCAGTGGCCTCAAACCTGGTCCTCATTCCCGTCAGCATTTAAATTCAGGCAAGATGGAAACTAGTCCTTTGGCAGCACCCCAAAAAGTCAAAATATTGGATCAATGTTCCACTCCTTTCCCCTCCCAAAGAGAAGTCAGGAGTTGGGGTTTCTTCCCAGTTTGCATGATTATTAATGCTACTGAGCACCTTATAATATTTAACAAAGTTTTTTTTTTTTCCCAATAAAATAGTGCACTTTCTCAGGGCCATGCTGGGTACTTTCATTAAATTAATACTTCATTTTTTACTTCACTACTCAACGTAGCTGAGCAGTTTCCAGTGTACAACACAGTGACACAGGTTTCCCTTGTCCAGGACTTAGAAATTGGAGCTAGATCCCTCCGTCTTGCTCCTTGGATCTATCTTCCACCCCAGGTCCTATGTAGCCCGGCTCCACTTGGAGTGGGATTTCTTTCAATCACCCTGGTTGTATACCCTGGTCAAGGTCAGCCTTAGTCTTAGGTCTTTTATCAGTAAGGAAGCAAGTCCTCTTCTGTCCGATTTTCTACGTGATGTAATTGATCTGAGCTGTGCTGTTTCGTGAGCATTTATCTGGTAGTCTCCCAACATCCCGGGAAGCAACACCTCCCTAAAGCAGCCTGAACACCTGGATTCCGACTATTTTTTGTGTCTGTTAAATATTTTTAGGCTTCCTTTTGACATGCCTATGTATGCAGCGCTTTTGTTCTCACCAAATATTCAGGCATCATTATTTCGGCAGCAGAATGTCTAGCTAGGAAGGACCTAAACGCCTTCCCCACACCGTGTGTGTGTGTGTGTGTGTGTGAGAGAGAGAGAGAGAGAGAGAGAGAGGGAGAGAGATACGTGTGTTATGGCGAGTGTGTGTTATAGAGAGGGAAAGAGAGATAAATGTGTTATAGCTGCAGTGGAGCAGAAAGACCTCTGCTTCTGGTCAGGGGGATCTGGGTTTAAATCCTGCCCTTGGCCTGATGAGGTGGCAAGAATATGGGCAAGTCATAAATCACCCCAGCCTTAGTCCTTAGTTTCCCCTTTCCTCTGCTCCAGAGGTGGCAGTGAGAGAAAAGAAGAATGGAAGAGCAAGGTGGAAAATAGCCAAGAAGCCCACCATCACTCATATTGAATGAGAGATTGCAATTTTTATTACCTGAATAATAGGTACCATTACTGCCTCTTAGGAGGAATAATTTGGCAGATTTGAAAGGGCAGTGGTGAAGAAGAATGAAGCAGCTTTCTGCTTCAACCCTACTGAGTCCAGCTTGTTCAATAAACTGGGTACAGGGACAGGAACACAAAGGGAGACTGTTCAACAAGTTTGGGTAAACTTGACTTGGAAAGAAATTGGGGAAGGTTGTTGTTATTTTGTATGGGCTTTTCCTTTCTCGCTCGTCTTGGTCTGCCATGTTAGTAGCCTTTGGGTTCAGCCTCCCAGCACCTTGTTCTGTGTGCTTTATCCTATACACAGGAGCATCCCACAAGTAGGGTTGGCAGTAAAGTTGGCCAGGGGCCACCGATGTGGGTGGACTGGATGTGGCCAGTCATGGTGCCTGGGGCCTCAGGCTCTGTTAACTGGATTTATCCTAAGAAGGGAGGGGCAGGGCAGGAGAGTGCTTGGAGCCAGAGAGAAGATAGAGAATTTCAACCCTGTTACTCAGAAGAGGTGAAGCAAAGGGCAGCTCTTTCTTCACTTTCCCTCCCTGGAACCTGGTAATGACACATGACAATGCTCCACATCAGAGAATGCATCTTTCAGGAGCCAGGGAAATGGTAGACATTGATCAGCCCTGGGTTTGAGGCCAGAACAAGCACACAAACTCCTTCTTACTATCCAGTATTCATTGCTACCTTCCCAAAGAGTGATTTTCATAAATATTGTGATAACTTCTAGCCACAGATCATGGGACAAGCTATTAGAGCTGGCAGGACTAAGGAATGTTCTCTGCAGCCCTAGACCTAGGGGCTCTCTCTTCTTTCTCCCCCTCTGTCTCCTGCTGTCTATTCATCCTTCTCTTCATTTCTGCTCTCACCCCAATATGAGAGATTGTAGGGTGTAGTCACTGATTCATTCAACAAATATTAGCATGCGCTATGTACCAGAACTATTCTTGGTGCTTAGGATACATCAGTGAATAAGGCAGACAAAACTCACTGTCCTTATTAACTGAAGTACACATCCCAATTGGGGAGGCAGGCAATACACAATAATAAATAAAGTAAATAAGTAAATGATATAGTATCTTAGAAAGTGATAAGGCCTGTGGAAAGAAATATAGACCAGGGAAAGGGGGTTGGGGTAAGCAGGTGGTGAGGGGCTGTGAGGGCCAAGGTAAGAACTTTGGCTTTACTTGCAGTGAGATGAGCAGCTGTAGCAAGTTTTGGGAAGAGGTGGGACATGATCTGGCCTTTGTTTGAAAGGATTCCTATGCTGGCTATAGGGAGACCAGTGAGGGGCTAATGGCAGCAATCCAGGAACGAGAGGATGAAGGGTGAAATCTGGCAATGGGGATAGTGAGAAATAGTCAGATTCTGAATATATTTTAAAGCTAATGTAATTTCCTGACATAAAGGGAGCGGGATAAGAGAGGAGAGGAATCAAGCATACCTCCTAGGTTTTTGGCTCATCAGCTGGAGAGATGGAGTTCTTATCAGCCGAAATGGGGGAGTCTGTGGGTGGAGCAGAGTTTTGGGGGATAAGCAGAAGGCCAGATTTTGGGATGTAAGCTTTGAGATATTATTGGGCAGACAAATGGAGCTGTTGAGTAGACAGATGGACATGAAATTCATGGGGGAAGTCCCAGCTGGAGAAATAAATTTGAGTCCTTGAGCTATATTTCAATGATATATAAGGCCATTGGACTGGACAAAAGTATCAGAAGAGAGTATGTGGTAGTTAGGAACAAGGGAGTTTGAACCAGACTGCCTGGGTTCAAACTCCAGCCAGGCACTTAGGAGCTGTGCAACCTTGGACAAGTCAATAAAATTTTGTGTCTCATTTTTTCTCATTTGCAAAATTAAGGTAAGTATAGGTTATACCTCATCTGGTTGTTATGAGAGTAACGCAGTTTATAACACGGAAAGTACTCAGAACAGTCTGGCACACAGCACGCTTTCAGTGTATGTCAGCTACCTATCTGTTTTGCAGCAGATATGAATTGCTCCATAATACCTGAATATTACTTAATTACAGTTTTTTTGGAAACAATCTTCATCTGGTAGAAAAGTTACAAGTGTGGGATAAAGAGCCTCTTTTCAGAAACATCTGTGAATAAATTGCTGGCATATTGCCTTATCGTCCCTGGTTATGGCTTGGATGTTGGTATCTCCCCAAATCCACATGTTAGCACCTAATAGCCAATGTGATGGTAGTAAGAGGTAGGGCCTTTGGGGAGTGATTAAGTCATGAGGAATCCACCCTCATGAATGGGATTAGTACCCTTAGAAAAGAGGCTCAAGAGAGCTCCTCAGCCATCTTTTGTCATGTGAGTACACAGCGTTTATCCCCTCTGCCATGTGAGGACAGGGAGCAAGGTGACATCTTGGAAGTGAGGGCAAACCCTCACCAGATGGTGAACCTGCTGGTGCCTTGACCCTGGACTTCCTAGCCTCCAGAAATGTGAGAAATGAGCTTTTGTTGTTTATAAATTACCCAGCTAATGGCATTTTGTTATAGCAGCCCAAACGGACTAAGACACCCCTGAATATCTCAGTGCGTATTTCCTACAAATAAGAACATTTTCCTGCATGACCACCAGACCATCAAAATCAGGAAATTAACATAGGCACATTATTACCATCTTATCTTTAGATTCCCTACAAGTTTTGCCAATTGTTTCAATAACATGTTTTTATAGAGAAAGGATCCAGTTACATTTAGTTGCCATACCTCTCTAGTTTTCCTTAATATAGAAAAAAAATCTCCTTTCCTTTACTTTATGACCCTGACACTTTTTAAAAGTATAGGCCAGTTATTGTGTAGAATGCCCCTAATTTTGTATTTTTCTAACACTTCCTCATGATGAGAGTCAGGTTTTGGCACCTTTGGCAGGAATATCTGGAAGTGATGCTGTGTTCTCATTGCTTCCAATCAGAAGGCACACAATCGGTCCCATTACTAGTCATGTTCACTTTGATTACTTTGTGATGTCTTCCAGGCATTTCCACTGTATTCTTTTTTCCTTTGTAATAAGCATGTAATGTTAAGATTTTTTTTTCTTAATCCTATGAAATCCAGTTTGAGCATGTGCCTCTACCATGGTTGGAGAGAAAGTGAATAGCAGCTATTTTCCATAGCTCCCCACTCCACTCTTGGATTGGATCAGGGCACCGGGGCTGTTGCCTTCCAAGACAAAGGAGATGAATTCTGGTTCTCAGTCTTTATGGGTCACTATGGCCATTGCTCTTTGTCCAGGCCTAACTGGACAAAGTCCCATTTGAAGTTGGCCGGTTCTACTACCTGCTGCAGTCTCTCTATGACAAGCTCTTCCTTGGGGATATTTGATGAAGCTCCCAAAGTTCTGGTTCTTGAAGCCAAAATCTTCTCTGGCATGAATTCAGCACCTCACAGGCCTGGAAATGTCTAGGGCTTTGCATCCTAGGAGGGTGCAGTTTTCCATAGCTCACTGAATTCACCATCCATTTTGGAAGATACCCTTGTTTGGGCCTCTGCACAGCCAAATGTCCCTCCTGCCTTGCTAACAGAATAGCCATTCCACCCAGCAACAGTTTCAGGGAAACCTAGGCCCTTCCCCAGCCCCAGGAGATGAATCATCATTGGTCCAAGGCAGTTATGGCAGCCAGTCCCCTGAGGCTGGGACACATGTTGAGATGTGAAGGGGAGTTGTCTGGAGGCTTCTGGGGAAAAAATTCAAGTAGCTCACTGTCTCTGTGCACAGAGAATGAATATGGTAAAACAGACAAACACACAAATAAACAAACAAAAAACACTTGTATATGGATGAGTCCAATATCACCTTTATTAAAGCATCACAGAAACTACAGGTTGTGGATTTTGAGCTTTAGTTTCTGAGAACAAGGTAAATAAATAATAAATAAGTCTGAACTTTCCTTCTATCTGACTTTTTTGCTTTTTCTTGCCAAGCCTGAGATCACTTACATCAGGGACTCTGGAAAAAAAATGAGGGTTCCGAATGGTTTTCATGAAACTCATTCTTTTCTCTCTTCCCACCTTTTACTAATGGAAGAGTATTAGAAATTTATAGGGATAAGGCACACAGGGAATTGGTGTGTTTTGCGTGGTTAATGCAGACATCTTTTTTTTTCTTTTCTAGCTTTGCTGAGGTATAACTCACGCATAAAAAATGTATAGTTTGAAGATTCGAGTATGTTCACAGGGTTAAGATTCACTCGACTTTAGCGTGTAGAGGATTCTGACGCATCGTTATAAAACATGCCTGCTGGTGTCACTGCAGAGCTCTGGCAGTGCTGTTTTCACCAATGCCTTTCCTTCAGTATTGTATGTTTGACAGTGGCCAAATTAGGCAGCAGAAAAATGTGATGCATCTGCCTCATGGGAGGCTGTCACCGCAGAAACAGAGAGCAAATGCACCTTTAAGTTGCAAAAGCT
Source organism: Homo sapiens (assembly GCF_000001405.40). NCBI lineage: Eukaryota > Metazoa > Chordata > Mammalia > Primates > Hominidae > Homo > Homo sapiens. Next base: position 1,509,576 of record NC_000020.11, read on the forward strand.
GAGATCCAGATGGAAGATGCAAACGTTTGGAAAAATATGGGCTCTGCAGAGCCAGCCCCTTCCTCACCACTTACCCCTGACCCAACCTCCATCTTGATTACCTGAGGGGGCATTGCCCAGTTTGTGGGAGAGGGGAGGAGTGCTTGAGAGAACCAACATTGATGGGCCCCTGACAAGAGTACTACAACCTGCTCCCGCAAACCCCAGGTCAAATTTGGAGGAGCTGGGGAGTTAGGAGGACTTGTGTCTTCCTTCCTGGTGACATGGTTCCTGGAGTTCCAGCTCCCAGCCTGGCCTGGCAGCAGAAGAGCAGAATGGGATCTATGCTCAACTTAGGGGGAGAGGACCTGAGACCATCCTGCAGAATCTTCTGGGGGTGCCAGAGTAGTCACATTTTCCAGTGTGCTTAAGAAGATTATGGGTGGAGCTGAAATCCAATGGTGTGGAGAAGCTCTGGGATCAGAAAGAAGTTATTGCTAGAAGCCCCTGTGTGGATCTACTGCCAGGAGCTTCACAGGGGGCAGACATCTTAGCAGATACCTGCATGGACTGATGTCACCAAGGCACCTTAGACACCACTGGGGATGCGGAGGCTGGGGGACCCCGTTTTGATGGAGGAGATCCTAAATTGACCATGATTAAGCTCATGGGTAGGGTGTTTAAAATATAAATTATGTAACAAACCTGCACGTTGTGCACATGTACCCTAAAACTTAAAGCATAATAATAATAAAATTTAAAAAAAAGATTATGGAGAAGTTTTAAAAAGTAATACTTTTGCACACCTGGAATTGTGGCTTGAGAGTTGTGTTGTTTTATTTTGATCATATCACCTAATACCTTTAGGACACAATTTCCACATTTGTGAACTAGGACTGGGGAGAAGAGATTGTACAAAGTGGTACCAAAAGCTTTACCAGCTCAGATTGGCTATGATGCTAAAGGTGCAGTGGGTCTTAGATGTCTCATTGCTCACCTTGAATGCTTTCTGTCTCTGTTACTCTCTTTGCAGGACCTTCTCCCAGTTTCCATTGAGGTTACTGAAGATTACCAAGACAGACCAGGGTGACAGGGAACAAGGGGGCATTTCCAGCCCCTGCAGATATCAGATCCTTTTCACCACTAGTTCAGACCATATTTTATTATTTTTAAAGTGATTTGTTGAAGAAATATGCCAACAACTCTCAGTAGATATGAAAATAGAAAGGAAAAATATATCTATAATCATGCCGTCTTGACAAATGAAAGCATTCTGTCTTTCTGCTTTCTCTTCCAGTCCATGCCTGCATAAGTATTAATACTTGTTTTGCACCAGAGCGTGGAGACTGCATTGTATCAAAGGGCTTTTGGGAGACCAGAAGGATGGAAAAGGAAAATCTGGATATTTTAGCTCTGCTGATTGGCTGCCCTGGCAACAGACCAAATGACTCCAAAAATAACTCTCCAGCTCTGACCCGTCTCCTGAACTTCAGATGCATCTGTCCGTGTGCCTACTTAACAGCTCCACTTTGATGACGAACCAACATTATATTTAACATGTTTAAAATGGAACTGTTAATTCAGTTCCATTCCACCACCAAACCCATCCCTCCACCTGTCTTCCTCATCTCATCCATTGCTCAACCTTGTCATGAAGTCATCTCCAATCCTCCCTCTCCATTGCCTTTCACATTCAGTCCCCAAGCAAGTCCTGTCACTTCCAATTTTAGGCTCACCTCCCGTTAGTCAATTTCTCTCCATCTCTGCTGGCACCACCTAGCTTAGATTACCCATTGACTCTGGGTTTACTGCAATAACCTCACATCTGAATTTTCTGATTATTTGCTTTCCCCTTGTCTACTTGCTCCACGGAAGTCATTGTGATTTCTTAAAATGTAAATCTTGTATTTGCTTGGTGTAATTTGCAATCTGGGCAGTGAGACATCTGAGAGTCTCTACCTCTGCAATGTCGTCCCATTGTTTAAATAAATCCCAAAGTCTCCACTGTGACCAGTATCCCTGTGTAATCTGTCTCCTGCCCATACCTCCAGCATTGTCCCATGTCCCATTGCTCACACTCTCCAGCCCCACTGGTTCCCTACCATTTCCTGAACCTTCCATGCTCCTTCATACCTTAAAGTTTGGCATAATAGGTTCCCTCCAACAAGAAGGTATTTCCCAGGCTCTTTGAAACTTCCAGATGTCAGCCCAAATGTTCCTGTTTCAGAAAGGCTACTAGCTTACCATTCTGTCTAGCTAGCAGCACTTCATTATTAACTCTGTGAAGATCTCTATCCTAGCAATCCCCATTATTTGTGCACTGTTTTTATTTTCTTCAGAGCACTCATCACATTTGAAATTCTTTCTTCCTTCCTCCCTCCCTCCCTCCCCTGTATCACTCCCACCTTTCTTTCCTTTCTATCTGTCCTCATCAGACTGTACCCTCACCACAAGGGTGAGGACCACTTTTACCAATGCTTACTAATGTTTGCTCAGTGCCCACACAGTGCTTGAAATATAGTGTGCGCTCAGGAATATGTGTGGAATAAACAAAGGCATAGCCTTCTTTGAAATGAACAAATGTTCATCTGGAAACTCTGGACTGGGCTTCCTTAGGATATGGGTGGTTTCCTTAAAAGGATAGGCAATCTTTATGTTCAAGTTGTGACTTTTCTGGCAGCTTCATTTTTCCTCTGGCTTCAAGGTATGCAACACCTGGGATATCCTCTATGTCCTTCTTGATGTATGATTTGGGGACATCCTCTATGTCCTTTTTGAAGTATGATTGGGGGAATGAGGAACTAGCTAAAGTTTTTGAGAAAATGTTACATGTATATATCACACACACACACACGTTTTTGAGACAGGGTCTTGCTCTGTCCCTCAGGCTGGAGTGCAATGGCGCCATCACAGCTCACTGTAGACTCTTCCTCTTGGGCTCAAGTGATTCTCACATTTCAGCCTCCTGAGTACTTAACAGGTATGTGTTATCACACCCAGCTAATTAAAAAAAATTTTTTTTTGTAGAGACCAAGTCTCATTACGTTGCCAAGGCAATATATACCCAGGTCTTGAATTCTTGTTCTCAAGTGGTCTTCCTGCCTTGCACCCCCAAAGTATTAGGGTAACATGTGTGAGTCACTGGAACCCCAAGAAAATGTTTTAAGAGGCCATTTTGATGTAAAGGATGGATGCGAGGCTCCAGAGCAAGACCTGGAAGGAGGCTGTTGGAGTGACCTAGGTAAGTATTGACAAGGGTCTGGGTGACCATGCAGATGAACAGGAGAGGACAGGATTAATGAGACTTGGAAACTTAGGGCACCTAGGGCACAAAATGTAGAGACAAGATGTATTAGTCCATTCTTATGCTGCTAATAAAGACAACCCGAGACTGTAATTTATAAGGAAAGAGGTTTAATTGACTTACAGTTCAGCATGGCTGGGAAGGCCTCAGGAAACTTACAGTCAAGGCAGAAGAGAAAGCAAACATGTCCTTCTTCACATGACAGCAGCAAGGAGAAGTGCAGAGTGAAGGTGGGGGAAACCCCTTATAAAATCATCAGGTCTCGTGAGAACTCACTCACTATCATGAAAATAGCATGAAGGTAACTACCACCATGATTCAATTCAATCACTTCCCACCAGGTCCCTCCCATGATACATGGGGATTATGGCAACTACAATTCAAGATGAGATTTGGGTGGGGATACAGCCAAACCATATCACAAGGTGTTATACATGCTGACACTGCGCTTGCTCAGGCCTCAGAATGAGTGTCTTACTTTTTGTTTCCTAGGAACTTTGCCTCATCCTAGTCCTGGCTCTGCTTCAAGGGGGAGGTAAATTATAATTCTTGTTTCATGATACCCTCATCATTGAAGAAGGCCAAGACATCCTCAAGGTCCTCAACATTGGAGCCCAGGAATGGGAATATTGAAGCTGAAGCACCTCTATTGTGAGTAGAAAATTTTGAAAAGGAGATGCATATCTGAGGGAGAATATCTCTGTTTCTGTGACTATAAAGGTTCAAAGTCACAGTAAAACTACATAATAAAAATAGAGCAGGATGTTTATCTCCTCTGGGCATACTTACCCTTTTACAAAAAGCCTTTTCTGTAAAAGGCTTTTCTGGACTACGTCATCTTCCAAAGTCTTCACAGGGCCATTTTGGTGCTTATAATGAACCCTCGATCTACTCCAGGGACACATTTCAAACCTGGGAAAGGGCACACATGTGTTCTTCCCTTTCCCTCACCACCCATAGGCATCAGGTTGGCTTTACTGTAGAACCGTTGGCCTGACAGGCCAGGAAGCAATAGATTGAGGATGGGTGAAGATCACCCATCTGTGTCTAGAATGCTGGGCAATGTGGCTCCTTGGAAAGCAGTGACAAGAGTTGGGTTTGAATCTGGATTTCTTGGTTCTACCACTTGTTATCTAAGTGACATTGGGCAGGTCCCCTCATCTGCAAAATGGAGCATGGTGCCCACCTTGTAAGACTGGTATGAGGATGAAATGAGATAAAACCACACATGAAGTCCCAGGCCCATGGTGGCACCCAGTAACTGTTTTTCTTCCTTATATGGAACTGTAGAATGTCACAATAGGAAGGGAACTTGGGGTTCTCTAGATAATGTCCCTCCATTTATTTTTTTCCTTTGAATCTTAAGTACACAGAATTGTACCTATCATAATTCATGTTGCATGATACTATAATTATTGACAATGCATGACCCTTTTTATTAATTTGTTTACCTACCCCTTCATCTATATAGCTGCCCTTTGGTCATTTGTTCACCCATCTGTCTACCCATCCATCCATCCGTCCATCTGTCCATCCATTCATCCATCCATCCATCTATCTTCCCTCACTCCCTCTCTCCCTTCCAATCAACCATGCATCTATCTATTTACCTGCATACCTATATCAATTTTATATTGTTAATCTGTCCATTTAAAAAAAATCTTAATATAAACATTTGTGAAGCCACCATCCATCATGAAAGCTAGAACCTTCACGATAATTTCCACCTATCTTTATGTACCCCAAATTCTCATCCTTCTGCCCTCCTACATCCAAGGTCACTGCTATTTTTAATCTTGTGTTCATTGTTCCTTTTAAAAAATGGGTTTCATTGTATTTCTATGTATTCCTAAAAACTAATGTTAGCTGTTTTCAGCTTTATTAAAAGACCATCATTTTTCATGAAATCTCTGGGACTTACTTACCCCCATCAATATTGTATTACTAAAATTTATCCATGTTACTGTGTGCGGCTGTAGTTAATTAATTTTGCTTTCTATAGAATATCCCATTCTGTGAGTGTACTAAGTTTATCACACATTGTACTGCAGATGGGCATTTGGATTGTTCTCAGGTTTTGCTAATTTTAAACAATGTCTCCATGTACATATTTGTACATATCTCCTGGTGCACATGTGCAAGTTTCTTTTGAGTGTAACCTGAGAGTGGAAGTGCCAGGTTATAGGGTATGTGAGTGTTTAACACAACAAAATTTTCCAATCTGTTTCCCAAAACAGCTGTGTCCATTTATGTGCCCACTAGCAATGCAAAAAAGATCCAGTGGCTTCTTTACTTTTGCTATTTGAACAGGGACAAAATGACATCTCAGTGTGGTTTTGCCGTGGCTTTTCCTGATTACTAATGAGGTTGGCCATTTCTTCATATGTTTATTGGCCATAAGTGTTTCATTTAACTCAGTTTTAATGATGGGGCTGTAGAGGTTTCATGGCAGAGCTTGGGTTTCATGGCAGAGCAATGGGCTTTCCTTGATGAGCCAGGAAGGAGCCATCAGAAATGCAGGCATCTATTTTCCTCAGGGTTGGAGCCTATCCTGCCTCTGCTGGGTTTCCTGGTCAGTATCATGGACTCTGAGGTCAGACTTGCCACAGAAAATTCATTCCTGGGTAAGGCATGAGAATCTCCCTCTCACTGTTGACCTTTCCAGTCTAGGTGCTCCCTTCCTCTGGTGGCTGCAGGAGACAGGGAGGGATGGCCAGTGCTGTTCAGGTCTCAGAAGGCTGATGAGGCAAGAGAAGCTGAGGGAGCAGCTACAGACATCATGGCAGGTCCTCCTCTAAGTCCAGTCCTCCTAAATAAGACAGGAGGGACTGAGGGTCCTATGTCACTGTGGAGGACTGCCTTTGCGGGGTCTATGACCTGTAGAGGAAGCAGGGGCTGAGGCACAGCCCATGATTTTCTCACACCTCTCCTTAGAGTCTACCTCAAGGGTGCTGTCTTCATACCAGCTCTCTCTGTTTCTTCCTCCTTAAGTGCCCCCTCTCCTGCCCTGACCAGGGAACCTGCCTCTTTGTACATCCTCAGGCTGAATGAGAGACAGAGGAAGGTCAAGGGGATAGCGGTGCAACTCTCGGGGACCCTATGGATCAACACCCATTCAAGGTACAGGAGAAATGGGAGGGCTCCACAGCCTTCTTCTCACAGTGCCCCTGTCAGCTGGAGTCCCACCCTTGGGAGCCTAATCCCATCTAGGGTCCCCCCTTACCTGGAAGAAAGGCTCCTCCTAAGGACACAGATGGCAGAAAGTTCCAGCAAAGGAGCAGGAAGGAGTTGCACACAGGGGTACCTGGTGACAGAACAATGTCAGGATGAGGCTAGATCCTGTTTCCACTAGACCCCCAAGCAGGCTCAGCCCCACCCCTGACTCAGGTCCCAAGACTATACCCTGGTCTTGGGGAGAGTCACCTCACCTATATAAGCCTCAGTTTCCTTCATCTGTAAAGTGGGGATTATAACACGCATTTCAGAATGTTTTTGTATCAAATGGGAGCACCCAAAGTACCTAATAGGTGCTCAGTAATTGTTAAATCTGAATGGCTTTTGGAGGATGGGTGGGAACTGGGGAAAGATATTTCAGATTAGCTTAGTTATTCAAAGGAGTATCTGGTAAAATGAGTGGGTGGTCAGGATTCAGCTGATGAAAGCAGCACTTACTGCAATTTGGTACTGGAGACGTAATGCTCTAAAGAGGTTGCCATAATTGCTGTTCCATTTTATAGATAATTCAGAAAGAGGTGAAGTGACTTTTCCAAGGTCACACATGGTGAGAACAGCAAAGCCTGCATTTGAACCTGGCCTGTCTGTCTCTAGGTCTGAGCCCTTACCTGCTTGGTTATTCCGGTCCTACTCTCCCAGACTCGCTTGCTCTTCTTTGGGCCTGCTCAGCTGCCTACTGGCCTGGACCAGAGCCTGGTTATTCTGCCACACTTGGCAGGTGAACTGTTTTTTATCCTTTCACTCTGAAGTGTTGACCAGGATATGATTGTCTTGGGTGAATGTGCCATCTGGGTTCTTGGTGGGGCCAAGTGCCTCACAGGTCTTGAAGTATCCATTTCTCTTTAGCCAGGCAATTTGTGTGACTTTGGGGTGAAACCTTTGTATATGGCAGGTGAGAATGGCAGTCTGGAGTCCTGGGACATGGTGTGCTGAGATATTCACTGTGGGCACAACTGAAACAATAGCACTGCCTTCGTTAGTTTCTTCCTTTATGCAAAGCGTGCTCAAGGGGTGTCTACACCTTCCTAGGCAGTGTGCAGGGTTCTTGGAATACAGCATTGACCAAGACAGGCATGTTCCTTGCCTTATGGAGCTCCCGCTCTGGTGAGGAGGACGGGAAGGAAACAAAGCAGTCACATGACTCCTACAGGAGTTCCAAGAGCCTACAATAGGGACAATTGACCTGGTCTGCAGGAGGGCAGGTTAGGAAAGGGTCTCCAGAGGAAGTAACCTTTGTGTGGAAATCTTTGAATTTGAAAGATTCAAATATGAAATTCAAATATGAAAGACGAATTAAGAGTTAACTCTATGTGGCAGATTGCATTTTCCAAAAATTATGGCAGCCACATACTCTTCCAGAACTTTGCTACTCCGCATTAGAGGAGGAGTCTATTTCTGCTCCCCTGGACTTTGTAACTGCTTTGATGAATAGAATGTAGCAGGGACAACACTGTGTGACTTCTGTGGCTGGGTAATGAAAGTTGGTATGGCTTCTACCTAGCTCTTTCTTGGGACACACCCTTGGGACACAGCCACCAAGCTATTACTAGCCTATGTGGAAATGTTGGGGAAGCAGGAGCCTAGGAGAGCCAGACTAATGCTACTTTAAGTTCAACTCTGTCTTGGAACTAACAAGGCACATTCCTTGCTGGTTACGACCGACAGTTATAAGATATTTACAACGGAAGAAAAGCCTAAAGATTCCTACAAAGACACATTTCTATAACAGTGGAAAGTCAGGATGTCCCAATACCCATAAAAATATATGTTTTCAAGATCATTATATTCTTTGATGTACTCAAACTCTAGAATGTCAAGGATAGTTTTCTTTAAATCAATAGAATAATAAATTTTGTCACGCTGTCTGCTCACATGAGTGTAGACACAGCTTAGCTTAGCTTTTACATGGACAAGACACCTTTATAAGAAAAACTTAAAGAAGAGGCTTTCCTCTGCTTTCTTTCTGAGGACACCCCACCCTGTAAGTGAGTAACTTTCAATAAATTATCTCTTCTCACTGTACTCTGTGACTTGCCTTTAACTTCTTCCTGTATCAGATCCAACAACCCCCTCTTGGGGCCTGAATAGGGACCCTTTTTCTGGCAACAGAAAGATAATAAGGAAAAGCCCATGCCAAGAAGAACAAAGGCCCCAAGCCAACAGCCAGGACCAATGGTCAGGCATGTTAGTGAAGGAGCCTTTAGGTGATTCCAGCCTCTGAATTGTCCAGCTGAGGCTCAACCATCATAGAACACAGCAAGCTGTCCTTGCCCAGCCCTGCTGGAATTCCTAACCCACAGCATCTAACAGCATAGTCATTTAAGGGAATATGGAGTAAATTTGGAATACTGGAATAAATTTGGGGATAATTTGTTATATATCCCTAATAATTGTGAAACATTAGGCAAAAGGGTTTGTGGGGCAGGAGAAGGGGGGTGCTGGGAGAGGTTGGGGGTGGGAATGGCATCTCAGCAGACAGATGGACCTGGGCAGAGGCCCTGAGTTTCCATGGACTTTAGAAAGAAGATCAAAGTGAATGAGAGAGAGGATGGGTGAGTGAGGCTGAATTCATAGCCAATCTGGAGGCTGGCTACACTTAAAGGTGGCCTGGGGGCACTTAAAGACATTCTAAGGCATACGAACATTATTTTAATACAATTAATTTCCAGATCCTGAACCCTCATAAGACTGTTTACTTAGATTGATCTGCCTGAGAATGAGCATCAGGGCCATTTTCTTTTCTTACCTCCGGTTTCTCAATTTTCCTTCTCCCATATCACAAAAGAAAGGCCTTCCTCCCACACTTCCTGAAGTGGGGCATTGTCCTTGGTGTAAAGACTTTGGGATGCAAAATAAAAGGACATTTCAAATACTGCTGGCCAGGAAGCCTGCTTTAACCAAAGCACCATCCACTCCCCCATCTACCTTGCCAAACTGCATTTCCAATACCAAGTTAATGGCTATTTTAATAATTACTTATCAAACATTTTTATATATTTAGATTGTTTGGATCTATTGTGCAATTCAATCCAAAAGAATGTTTTTTGACACTGAGAGCCTTATGGTCATAAAAATTTTATTTTAAATTTCAACTTACAGATGTAGTTTTGCTTGAGTTCTGTGTTCTCATAGTTCTCTGTGATATGATCTGTATGATTTTATAGTGAAGAAAAGATTTTCCACAATAAAATATGTTACATTAAGGTAAAATTCTTCATGGGAGTTAGAATGGAAATACAACTTTAAGAAGTAAAAGGAATGATATAAGATGCCTGATTATTAAAGAAGAGCTTCTTTATGTATGTTTAAATGGATCATGGTGGAAATTAAATTATGATGATGTTATTTTTTTCACTGAATATGTTTTGGAGTGATGCAACATTTGTAATACTCCAGGAGTTATGTTCTGTGCAACCATTTAAGCTTAAAATGAAAAATTTTAGAGTCAACTTTAAAATTTATGATACACTACATAGTTCTTCACAATTATTTTAGGGAAATATACACAAAAATGCTTGAATATCACATTTGAACATCCCAGTAATAATTTTTTTTTTCCCTAAGAGAAGTGATGAGCTACTGTAGGATTTTAAGCAAAGGAGAGACATGATCTGGTTTCCTTTATAAAATCCCCTTGGCTGCTGGGAGTTTTGGGGAAGGACTGTGGAGGGCAATGGTGGATATTAGCGATCAATTAGGAGGCTCTTGCAATTGCTCATGGATGTTGGCTTGAGCTTAACTATGAACTTAAGTAGTGGCAGTGGAAAAGAATGTATGAGTTCAGGAAATATTTGGGAGTGAAATCTGATAGAACTTGGTGATGGGTTGTGTGAGAAGAGGTTTCAGGCTTGGATGACTTGGTCGATGGGGAGTGTCTTCTTCACTTATATGGGTAGGATGGAAGGAGCAGCAGTTCTGAGAGGGTTGGGGGAGCAGCGCAACACCAATCTCTGGGCTGACCATGACTGAACCACCACTCCTGGGGAAGGTGGGGGTGGGTATTGCCTTTCTCTGGTATCTCTGAATAGGTGGTTCTTACAGGAGGCAGATCAGAGGTAGTTATCTGAAGAGGTGTAACACTGGGTTCAAATTCCAGCATGCTTACTGAAGAACCCTGTGACCTTGGGCAAGTCACTTCACTTTTCTGGGCCTCAGTTTCCTCATCTGAATGAAGCAAGGACACAAAGCTGCCTCTAGTTTCTTTGAGATGATTGATGTGGAGGCTAGAATTCACTTTCCAGGCTGGAGCTCTCTTGTGGTATCTTTTGGTTAAGCAAGACACACTTCTATTTTGGGCTGGAGGCATTTGAGTAATGAGGAGCTAAATTCTTGACAATGATACCATAAATTATCTCCCTTATGGGGTTGCTGTGGAGACTATGGTGCTATTAATGGGTCTCCTTGGTTTTCTCTGGCTGGAGCTGGAGAGAAGGAAAGAGGGAGTTCTGGAACCCTGGAAGGAACTTCACCCATCTGCAGGAGGTAACTGAGACTACTCTATGCTGAGGTTGGTTGGGGGCAAAGGACAGTACAGGCCCCTGGGGAAAGCCCCTATGAAGGCAAAGGCAGATGGACTTGAAGTAAGAGCCAGAAAGGGCATGTGTGTGTAGCCTGCTTTGCTGGTTCTCCTGATGCCAGGGTGAGTTTAAGAAGCATGTTTCAAAGGTGGTGACTGGTGGCAAGGCAGTGGTGGCATGGTGGTTTGAACAATGGTGTTAGGAGTTCCCATGGAGAGTTCAAGTGGGAGAAACTTCTTTGCTGTGAAGCCCTAGGTGATCAGGTCCCTGCCCCTCTCTTGCCAGCCTCTTCCTTTTCCATGCACTCGTCCTCTCACTAAGCCTCAGCCACACTGGCTTCGTCTCTGCTTCTCAGACATGTCTTGCTCCCCGCTGCATCACAGGGCCTTTTCACGCTCTGTTTCCTGTGCCTGGAACACTCTGCACTTTGCTTGGCTGACTCCTTTTCATTCTTCATGCCTTGGCTCAAACATCAGTTCTTCAAAAAGACATTTCCTGAGTAAACTGGATTTCTCTCCTTTTCATATATTTCAGCAATCTGTTCTTTCTCTTCATAGCAAATGTGATGAATATAACCATATAGTTGTTTGTGTCTTGGTTGATCGGGTTCACATGACTGTAAACTCAGCAAGGCAGAACCAGGTCTGCTTGGTTTACCATGGAATCCCCAGCACCGAGAATAATGCCACCACATAGCAGATGCTCAACAAAACCTGTTGAATGGGTGAATGAAGTTCCACCTCCCAAAGACGCTAGAGGGAAGGGAGCTCTGAAAGAGAAGAACTCGATCATAGCATTATGCAGAAGGAGGATGGTCATATAAAACAGGGAACCTTATCACCACCTCACTGAGGGTTTTGTGAGGAATGAATGGGAGGATGCAGGTGACATGCTTCAAGCAGGGAGCCTACAGTGGTCACAAAAGGTTGGCCCTGTTTGTGTGGGGGGCTTACCTTGGAGAAATTGGGAGATGTTCACGTGCCCTCTGAGGGGACTCTGCAATTCACTGTGAGCCACTTGGCAGGTGACCTGGGAGTGGAGTGAGGAGAAGCCAAGGGTCACTGTAGCAGTGCTGATGACGGTGTAGGAGGAAGCATCTGCATGCGGGAAGACCTGGGTCTGAAAGGCTGGAAGCTCTATGCCATTTTTGAGCCATTTCACATATATGTTTTCGGCAAAGAAGCCAGTTGAGGTGCAGGTGAGATTCACTAGTTGGCCTGGGCTAGCCCTGTTGGAAGGGCCAGAAATCTTTGGAAGAGAGAGCTTAGCTTTGATCAGGGCAAGGGTGAAGAGAAGAAGGAGAGAGAAGAGAGAAAAATGAAGAGGGAGAGTTACTCTCTAGCCCAATACTCACCCTCATGGTTCACTCTGCTTGACTTCCTGCCCCAATCGCCCATCTCCAGTTTTCTCCTCTTCATAAACTTTATCATTACTCTTCTTGTTATAACGGCCTATCAACTGACCTCACTGACTTTACCTCTCAGCTCTTCCAACCTACACTTGGAAATCAGACCATGGTGATCTTGCTAAAATGGAGATCTGACCATGTTATTCCCTTGCTCACCTTCCTCCTGTCCCCTCTCATCCCTATCTTCTTCCCAAAGTACATTGTTTAAAAAGTCACATAAGGTATATCCCGAAAAACAGCAGACCCCTGGTTTCCTCTCCTTGCAAATATTATAGACCAACACGTTTTAACTATTTTAGTGGATTCTTTGGGCATATTTCTCTGTGTTTCTATGTTGATACTAACATACTTATACTGTTATTTTCATATTTTCTCATCTTTTTCAGTTTTATATATTATGGATCTACCTACTGCTATGGAAGATGATGCTCTAGCTCTCTTACAGCTCCTTCTACCTGCCATCCATATTTCTCCGCCTCACATCCTCCTATTAAAGACACATCATAATTTTTTGTTTTATCAGTATTCAGCATTTATATTATTATGACCAAATGAGCATTATTCATAATTGGGCCATGTAATATATCATAATCATATTTCCTGTCTTGTACAGCTTTTTGTTTTCCGTGGAGGTTTTTAATATATATTTTTTAATTTTTAATTTTTGTGGGTATGTAGTAGGTGTATATATTTACAGGGTACATGAGATGTTTTGACATAGGCATGCAATGTGTAACAATCACATCATGGAAAATGGGGTATCCAACCCCTCGAACATTTATCCTTCATGTTACAAATAATCCAATTACACTCTTTTAGCTATTTTAAAATGTACAATTAAATTATTGTTGACTGTCATCATGCTGTTCTTTTAATGGTGTCATTATTTTCATTTGCTTCATTTTCTATGAACTTATGACAAACTCATCCCCAAGCTTTCTGCCAGATTTCCTTCATGTTTGAAACTACTAAGTACTGCACTGGACTTCACTTTAGGGTACATGTGTATTCAGGAGTGCACAAAGATTTTTCAGGGGATTGTATAGGCTTGAATTAAAAAATCTTTTTATTATGATAAATTTGTAAACATACATAAAAACAGAGAGAAAGTATTCACAATGGCATTTTAACAGCTACAAACAAATGGCTGATCCTGTTTCGTCTACACTTCTCCCATCAACTGCTGGGTTAGTATTTTTTATTGTATACATTTAAAGTGTACGACATGATGTGTAGCTATACATACACTTAGTGAAATGATTACTACAGTCAAGAAAATTAGTATATCCAGTATCTCACATAGTTACCATTTTCGTGTGTGTGGTAAAAGTATCTAAAATCCTCCCTCTTAGCAAATTTCCAGTATACAGTACAATACTATTAACTGTAGTCCTCACACTGTACATTAGATCTCTGGGCTTATTCATCCTACATAACAAATTTTGTACTCGTGGACTTCCATCTGTCTCCCCATTTTTTCAACTTCCCATCCCAGGTAACCATTGTCCTACTCTGTTTCTATATATTCGAGTTGTTTTGTTTTTTATATTTTACATGTAAGTGAGAGAAATTAAAAATAAAACTACCATATAACCCAGCAAGGTTTTTTTCAGGTATATACCCAAAGAAAATGAATTCACCACCTTGTAAATGTATCTGCATGCCCATGTTTATTGCAGCATTACTCACAGTAGCTAAGATATAGAAACAACGTAAATGTTTGTCAATGTATGAATGGATAAAGAAATTGTGGCATATGTATACAATGGAATATTATTCAGCCTTAAAAATAAGGAGATCTTGCCATTTGTGACAACATGGATGAACCTAGTAAGCATTATGCTAAGTGAAATAAGCCATACACTGGATGGTTTTAAGGTAAATACCAGACATGATATTATTTCATTCTTAACTACTTCAGCATGTAGAAGAGTTAAGAATTCTTTTTTTAAACAATAAAATGTCATTATTATACTTAAAATTTAATAGTAATTCCTTAATATCATCTAACATTTGTCAACAGTCAAATTTTTCTGCTTGTCTCATAAATATAACTTTACAGTTGGTTTGTTTGAATGAGGATGCAAATTAAAGCCATATGTTACATTTTGTTGATGCCTTTTAAACCTCTATTAATCTAAAGGAGTTCCACTTCCTCTTTGTTCTCTTGCCATTTATTTGCTGAAAAAACCAGGTTGTTGACTCTGATAAATTGCCCACATCCGGTACTATTTCCCAGTTTCCCAACTGTATTCAGCTGCAGTCGCGCGCAGTGGTAGTGGGCTTGATAACATGCCCTTTATTGACTGGCTTCACCACTCCTTACTGTTGTTAATTGCACTGAAATCCTTGTCTTACAGTTGGCTTCTCACTGAACCTATCTCTGTGTTTTAAAGTCCCTCGAAATAATTAGTCTTTGTCTAGTTAAGCCATCAATATATAGTTAGATTAATTAGTTTTACTTTAGATTTAGTAATTTAGATTTTTAGGATTTTTTTTCATTTTGGAATTTATTAATTATTTAAAAATTCATGTGCTTAGAAAGTCAAAACGTAAGTCACAGCACATTCAGAGAAGTCTGGCTTCCCCCTTGTCTCTTCCATTCTGTTCCCTTTCTCCTTTACATGTAAATTTTTAAATTATGATTTTAGTTTATTCCTCTTTTTCTAAAAAAACAAGACACAAGGCCGGGAGCGGTGGCTCACTCCTGTAATCCCAGCACTTTGGGAGGCCGAGGCGGGTGGATCACGAGGTCAGGAGATCGAGACCATCCTGGCTAACACGGTGAAACCCCGTCTCTACTGAAAATACAAAAAAAAATTAGCCAGACGTGGTGGCGGGCGCCTGTAGTCCCAGCTACTCGGGAGGCTGAGGCAGGAGAATGGCGTGAACCCAGGAGGCGGAGCTTGCAGTGAGCCGAGATCGAGCCACTGCACTCCAGCCTGGGCGACAGAGCAAGACTCCATCTCAAAAAAAGGAAAACACACACACACACACACACACACACACACACACACACACACACACACACACAAAACCACAAGAGACAATATACACATGCTTGTATTTCTCACTCTTGTAAACATAAAAGGTAGTGTGCTCCACACACTCTTCTATATATTTTCCTGTTTAATGATATGCTGTGGGTCACTCTGAAGTGGTGTGCTGAGTTCCTCCTTACGCCCTTTTAAAGTCACATAATACCCAGTGTGCGGCTGTACCATAATTTAGTAGGCAGCTCAGCTTTTGCTCTTACCAATAGTGTTGTGATGAAGAGCCTAAGGATAAGTCATCCTGCACTTGTGTTAGTAGATCTTTGGGATACATTTCTGGAAGTTGAATTGTTGGGTCACGAGGTAATTTTGCTAGATATTGCCAAGTTCACCTCTTTATGAGTTATATGGTTTTGCATTCCTAACAGCAAAATATGGAGTAATTGTTTCGCCTTAGCTTCCCCAACAGAACGTGCTGTTGAACTTTTGGATTTTTGGTCAAGCAGATAGGTGAGAAACCGTGTCTCAGTGTAGTTTTTAATTTGCATTTCTTCCTATACAAGGGTGGTTGAGCGTATTTTTATATGTTTGAAACATTTGTATTTCATTTTCTATAACTTGTCTTTTCCCATTTATTGCCCATAATTCTAAAAGGTTGACTGTCTTCTAAAATTTTAGAAGCTTTCTCTATATTAGGGATTATTTTTTGTCTACGATGTAAATCGCAAAATAGTACACACACCTATACACAAGTTTCTTTTTGTACAATGCGATCAAAATTATAATCTTTTAAATCTTTCTGCATTTTGAGTTACAGTTGGGAAGGTTTTCTCCATTTCTAGGTTATAAAAGAATATATATATATATATGTTTTCTTCTAGTACTTAAATAGTTTCGTTTCTTACATTTAAATCTCTGATCCACTTGGAATTTATTTTGGTGTATGGTGGGAGGAACTAGATAGATACACTTCTGGATTTTTCTATGCTGTTCCATTGGTCTATTAACTCTTCAAATGATCCAACACCACAGTTGAAAAGTCTCTTCTTTTTCCACTGACTTGCCTTCATACTTTTTTTTTAAGCAATCAATTGACCATATGTATGAGTCTATTTCTAGAATCTCTATTCTGTTCCATTGATCCACTTGTCTTTTTTTTCTTTTCTTTTTTTATTTTTTAATTTATTTTATTTTATTATTATTATACTTTAAGTTTTAGGGTACATGTGCACAATGTGCAGGTTTGTTACATATGTATACATGTGCCATGTTGGTGTGCTGCACCCATTAACTCATCATTTAGCATTAGGTATATCTCCTAATGCTATCCCTCCCCCCCACTTGTCTATCTTGATGCCAATACCACACTGTATGATTACTATAGCTCTATAATAATTTTCTGTTCATGAGGGATATTGATCTATAGTTTTGCTTTTCTATGATTCTTTATCTGTAATGCTGGCCTCACAGAATGGGAAGCCTCACTTCCTCTTTAATTTTCTGAAATAATTTGAGTAAAATTGTTAGTACTTCTTCCTCAATTGTTTGATAGAATTCCTCAGTGAAGTCATCTGGGTCTGAATTATTCTTTGTCAGAGGCTTTTTAAACTACAAATTTAATTTCTTTAATAGATATAGCGATAATTAGCCTATTTATTTCTTCTTGAGTGAGCTTTAGCAGTCTATGTCTTTCAAAGAATTTGTCCATTTCATCAAAGTTGTTAAGTTTATTGGTATAAAGTTTTTCATAAAGTTCCATTATAATCTTTTTAATATCTGTGGAGTCTGTAGTAGTGTCACCTCTCTCATTATTGATATTGGTAATTTGTATCTTCTTTCTTTTTTCCTGATTAACTGTGTGGATATGGATTTATTAATTTTATGAATTTTCTCAAGGAACCAGCTTTTGCTCTTATTGATTTTTTCTATATTTTTTCATTTTATGTTTCTGATTTCTGCTGTGTTCCTTATTATTTCCTTTCTTCATTTTTTCCTACTTTTTGAAGTCTCTGAAAAAAACCTTTCTTCTGTCCTAATATAGGGATTTAGTGCTATGAATTTCCTGCTAAGTACTCTTTTGGCTGCATGCCACAAATTTGGTATGCTATGCTTTCATTTTCATTCAGTTAAAAATATTTTCTAAGCCAGGAGTGGTGGCTCATGCCTGTAACCCCAGCATTTTGGGAGGCTGAAGCAGGCAGATCACTTGAGCTCAGGAGTTTGAGATCAACCTGGGCAACACAGCAAAACTCAGTCTCTACAAAAAAATACAAAAATTAGCTGGGCAGGGTGGAGTGCACCTGTAGTCCCAGCTACTCAGGAGGCTTAGGTGGGAGGATCACCCAAGCCCGAGAGGTTGAGACTACAGTGAGCCGTGATTGTGCCACTGCACTCCAGCCTGTGGGACAGAGTGAGACCCTGTCTCAAATAAATAAATAAATACATACATACATACATATACAAAATACTTTCTAATTTTTCTTCCGATTTCTTTTTCAATAATGTATTATTCAGAAGTATATTTAGTTTTAAAATGTTTGGAGATTTTCTAGAGATGTTTGCTTTTTAAATTTAATTTCTATGACTACTGAGGGTTAAATTAAATAAAATTAAAAATAAATAAATAAATTTAATTCCATTGTGGTCAGAAAACACACTTCTCATGACTTGATTTATTTCAAACTTACTGAGACTTATTTATGGCTGAGAATACAATCTATGTTGGTAAATGTTTCTTTTGTAGTTAAAAAGAATGTGTATTCTCTTGTTTTGGGATGGAGCATTCTATAAGTATCAGTTAGCTCAAGTTGGCTTATAGTGCTGTTCAAGTCTTCTACATCTTTACTGATTTTCTGCCTCCTTTTTTTACCAATTATTGAAAGAGAGGTTTTGAGATCTGACTATAATTGTAGATTTTTCTATATATTCTTGCAATTCCATGAGTTTTGTTTTATGTATTTTGAAACTCTATTATTATATGCATCAACATTTAGAATTGGTATATTTTATTAATTGATAAGCTTATTATAAATGATATTCTATGTTCTCATAATTTCTTTGTTCTAAATACACTTTGATATTAATGTAGGCATTCCATATTTAAAAAATTATTGTTGATGTTGCATATATTTTTCTGTCCTTTTATTTTTAATCTATTTGTGCCTTTATTTTTGAAGAGAATCAATTCTCTGCAGGCAGCAAATAGTGGATCCTACTTTAAAAAATATAATGCAAAAATCACTTTATTTTAATTGGTGTGTTTAAACCATTTACATTTAATATGATTATTTATATGACTAGGTCTAAATCTATGATCTTGCTACTTACTAGCCTCATCTCTTTTCCAGTGTACCTCATTTTCTGTCTTCTTTTGGATTGATTTTTATGATTCTGATTTATGTCTTTTGTCAGTTTATTAGCTATTACTCTTTGTTGTGTTATTTTACTGGTTGTTTTGGGATTTCTGGCATACATTATTAACTCATCATTATTTACCATGAGTGATAAGGTATCACTTCACACATAGCATAAAATTCTTACAGTAATATATTTCTGTGTCTCTCTTCCTGGTCTTTGTGCTATTTTTCTCACACATTTTACTTCCATGTATGTTATAATTTGTCAAATATATTATTATTGTATTTGCTTTGAACAGCTATGTTTTAAGTACATTTAAATATACTTTTAAAATATTTTCCCACATTGTTACTATTTCTCTTGCTTTTAATTTCTTTGTATATATCCAGGTTTCCATCTGGTATCATTTCACTACTGTTGGAAGGACTTCTTTTTAACATTTCTTGTAGTGCAGATCTGTTGATGATGAATTCTTTCAGCTTTTGTATGATTGATAAAATCTTTATTCTTCACTTCAAAAATTGTGGTAAAGTACACATAAGATCTGCCATCTTAACCATTTTTTAGTGTACAGTTCAGTGGCATTGAGTACACATTTAGAGTACAGTTTCAGTGGCATGAGTCACATTGTTGTGCAACCATCACCACTATACATCTCTAGAATGCTTTCCATCTAGCAAAACTGGGAAAATATATGGAATGCATCACAAATTTGCATTCCATCCGTGTACACAGGCCATACTAATCTCTGTATCATTTCACTCTTAGTATCTGTGCTGCCAAAGTGAGTACTTAACTCCAGCCTGGATGGCAGAGCAAGACTGGCTCAAAAAATAGATAAATAAATTAAATGCTTAATTTTATGTATTTATTTTAAAAGATATTTTTGCTAGGTAAAAATTCTAGAATGACTAATTAATTATTGTTTTCTTTTTAAAAATGCTTTAAATAGCCAGGCATCGTGGGGCATGCCTGTAATCCCAGCATTTTGGGAGGCCGAGGAGGGTGGATCACCTGAGGTCAGGAGTTCGAGACCAGCTTGGTCAATATGGTGAAACCTTGTCTCTACTAAAAGTACGAAAATTAGCCAGGCATGATGGCAGGTGCCTGTAATCCCAGCTACTCGGGAGGGTGAGGCAGGAGAATTGCTTGAATCTGGGAGGCGGAGGTTGCAGTGAGTCGAGATCGCGCCGCTGCACTCCAGTCTGGGTGATGAGGGTGAAACTCTGTCTCAAAAAAAAAAGAAAAAAAGCTTTAAAGATGTATCCCCACTGTCTTAAGCTTGCATTATTTTTGATGAAAAGTCTCCTGTATTTTTTGTTCTTTTGTATTTAATATTTCTTTTTGGGGGGCTGCTTTTAAGATATTTTCTTTATTGGTTTGTGCAACTTGGTTTGTGCTTGGGGTTCATCGAGTTTTTGGATCTGTGGGTCTACAGTTTTCATCATATTTGGAACATATGTGACCATTATTTCTTCAAATATTCTTTCTGTCCCCTCTTCCACTGGTGTCTCCAATACATATCTATTAGGCCACTTGAAATTTCCCCATAGCTGCTGATTGATGCTCTGTTTATCTTTTTTTTTTGAGATGGAGTCTCGCTCTGTCGCCCAGGCTGGAGTGCAGTGGTGCCATCTCGGCTCACTGCAAGCTCCACCTCCTGGGTTCACGCCATTCTCCTGCCTCAGCCTCCCAAGTAGCTGGGACTACAGGCGCCCGCCACCACGCCCGACTAATGTTTTGTTTTTTTTTTAGCAGAGATGGGATTTCACCGTGTTAGCCAGGATGGTCTCGATCTCCTGACCTCGTGATCCACCCGCCTTGGCCTCCCAATGTGCTGGGATTACAGGCGTGAGCCACTGCATCTGGCTGCTCTGTTTATCTTTTATACAGTTTTTAATTTTTTTGGTCTTATATTTGGATGTGGCTTTATATATTCCATTTTTATCTCTCTGTGTCATTTTGAATAGTTTCTGTTGTTGTGTCTTTAAGTTCATTAATCTATTTTCTTCAACATCTTAACTGCTATTAATCCTACTCAGTCTATTTTTCATCTTAGATATTGCAGCTTTCATCTCTAAAAGTTCAATATGGATCTTTTAAATATTTTCCGTGCATCTACTTCACATATTCAGTTTTTCTTCTAGCTTCCTGAACATACAGAGTATACTTATAATAACTTTAATTTCTTTGTGTACTAATTTTATCACCTGTCTTTTCTGGTTAGTTTCAAATGATTAATTTTTCTTATTATGAATCACATTTTCCTGCCATTTTCATGCCTGGTAATTTTTTATTGGATAACAGATATTGTGACTTTTACTTCAATGGGTAGTGGGTATTTTGCCTTTCTATAAATATGCTTGAGCTTGTTTTGGGACATGGTTAAATTACCTGGAAGCGGTTTGAACTTTTCATGTTTTGGACTTAAGCTTTGCAAGGCATGCCTCCAGCATCATTTGGTCTAGGGCTAATTCTTTTTCCTTTACTGAGGCAGAACTCTTCTGTGTATTCTACCAGATGTCCCATGAATTATAAGTTTTTTTCACTCAGGTTGTAAAGATCAGGCACTATTCTTAGCCTTGCGTAAGCTCCAGAAATTTTTCTCCTCTGGCCTCATGTACTTTTCTCATGTACATAATACACTTTTCAATACTTCACTGAATATTCAATGGGGACCTTTTACAGATATTTGGAGTTCTCTTTCTGTGAAACGACCTGCTCTTTGGTGCCCTACCCTGAAAACTCTAGTCACTTGGCCTCTGTGGACATCCAGGTCCTTCTTAACAACTCAGGGAGAACTTCGGGCTCCACCTGAGTTATCTCGTTCTGCATGGTGGTCTTAAAGCCTTCTCAGAGAGTACTCTTAGGGCAGCCTTAGGGCTCGCTTCATTTATGTCCCATTTCACAGGGATCACTGTCCTTTGTTGCCTGGTATCCAATGTCTTGTCTACCATGTTTTAAATAATTTGCCCAGATTTTTAGCAAGAGAGTAAATCCAGTCCCCATCACTATTTTGGTAGAAGTTGCCCCAATTATTTAATTTAATTTAATTTTGCTATTGTACTATGTGTTTGTCTTTTTTCACTGTATGTTCTAACTGGTTTTTCTTTGTATATGTGAAGGTTGTTGATTTCTGTTTGTTGATTTTATAACTTACTATGTTACTTAAATTATCTTGTTTTTTATAGCAGTTTAATGTTGATTCTATTAAGTTTTCCAGATACCATATCATCTACAAAGAGAGATAGTTTTCCCACTTCCTTTGCAATTAATATGCTTTTTATTGTTCTCTCCTTCTAAAAGCATTGACAAATACTTCAACGTAATGTTAAATACTATTAGAAATGGTGGGCATGAGTTTGAAGACTGCTTAAGTATTCTACTGATTCTATCTTTTGGAGATGTCCCTAGTAATGCTGCAAGTCCTCCTGTTCTGGAATGGCCCAGTGGCCATTTCTATGCCTCCTGCACAACTGTTATCTTAGGGTTTCCAATCCCCTATTCCTAGTTCTCATTCTTACCTTTTTTTTTTTGTATGACTCCTATTTTAGTTAAGCATAAGAGGGTGTAAAAAGCAATTCTTGATAATCTTGCAAACTCCATAGATTGTCTGGGTAAATGATTTTAGCTTTGAAATAATTTTCCCTAAGAATTGTGAAGGCACTATTCCTTGTATTCCTGGGTCTAATATTGTCCTTAGGCATCTCATGCTGGTGTCACTCACAGTGCTTTGTGCATAACTTTTTAGTTTCAATTCTTTAAAATTGTATGACATTCTCTTTGTCCCCAAAGACTGCCTACCATTCTCCTTGTTTCTCCATGGCTGTAAGCTAAAATGTGAAAGTCCCCTAAATTATCTTGATGTATGTTTCTATGGTTCTGTTACAGTAAATTATCACACTCATTTTTTTAAAAAAGAATCATAATAATTAATTCACCAATACAAGTACATCTGAACTAACTGTTGGGCTTCCCAGGCTTTCCTTTAATGGGTGCTGTTTAGAGTCTTGCAAGGTTTGTCTTCAGCCATGATTGAATCAGCCAGGACCAAACTCGAGAATACACAGAACTTATAGAAACAAAGGACAAAATTCAAGAAATGTAGGAATTACATATTCTATATCAATAATCTACATGTGATTCTTATAACTTTCTGCCTCAATAAATTTATCATTCATATCTTATGGGAATCTATGGTTCCATGCTTTTAAGATTATGTTTTTAAGTTTAATTGGTTGTAATATCCTGAGTATTAATGATGTATAGTAATATAATAATTATTATACAGCAGGCACTCTTCTAAGTGTTTTCCATTTATAAGCCCATTCACATTTATAATTCTTATAACAAATCTGTGAAGTGGATACTATTGTTATCCCTACCTTAAACACAAGGGAATTGAGGCACAGAGAATTTAACATTTTGAATTAAGAATCTTAATTAAGAATTAAGGTCACATAGGCTGGGCATGGTGGCTCATGCCTGTAATCCCAGCCCTTTGGGAGGCCGAGGTGGGAGGATCACTTGAGGTCAGGAGTTCGAGACCAGGCTGGCCAACGTGGCGTAATCAGGTCTCTACTAAAAAAAATCCAAAAAAATTAGCCGGGCATGATGGTACATGCCTATAATCCCAGCTACTCAAGAGGCTGTGGCACGAGAATCACGTGAACCTGGGAGGCAGAGGTTGCAGTGAGCTGGGATCACGCCACTGCACTCCAGCCTGGGCAACACAGAGAGACCTTGTAAAAAAAAAAAATAGAATTAATGTCACATAGCATGTAAATGGCAGAGCAAGAAGTTGATCCCAGGCCATCTGGCGCTGTAGTCTACTTTTACCCACTGTGCTTTGTGGGCCTTTGGAAGCTGTAAGATTCTAAAGAGTTAGGAGTCTACTGATAGATGGCGCTGGGGTTACATTTCACCCTGTTCCTTCACTGTGACCTCTCACTATCCCCATCTTCTATTCATAATCTTGGCACAAGGGCTAACAAAGGGGGAGCCTTAGGCTAGGCTCCCAGGGATTGTAATTTGTTTTAGAACAATGCGCTGGATTTCTAGGGATCTGTACTCCACCATGCACAAACATCTGGGTGCCTTGTCCAGACTTAATCTTCATGTAGGCTTCCTTTCTGGAATTTCACACAGTAGTAGGTGCCGGCTCTGCTGGTGTGATGCTTCTGATACAGATGGAATAGTTTGTGCTCTTTCTATTTGTGATGTCTGAAACAGTTCTTATCCAGGGGAAGTTGCCTTCTTTTTGACTGTAGATTAATTCCCGGCCTGGTCCAGCTCCTCTGAACCACTGGATGGGCCCTACGGGGATCAGGGAGGTCACAGTGCAGTGTAGAGTGGCCGCTTCTCCAGCTGCGACTGACACGGACTTCTCAGGCTGAATTACCCGCAGCTCCTCCTCACCCGCCACTCCTGGAAGAACACACGTCAGCTCCAAGCTCCAGCTGGGGATGAGGCTGCGGTCCAGGTGCCTGGGTTCAGATTGCATTTGAAGCCCCATTCATTCTTTCTTTCCATATCATGTATTAGCTTTTAGGATGGGCACATTCCTTAACTGGGTATCAAGAGAGACATAGAGACAAGATAGACAGACAGCCCTTGCTAAGGACACAGTCAGGAAGTCAAAAGAGAAGAAATACTTCTAGAAAAGATGTTCAACAACACCAGTAATCCAGTGAAGTGCATAGTTAAACCACACACAAATTGCTAACGTCCATGACAGACTAGCTGGAAAAGTTTTTAAAAAAAATGTACGCAGGTTTCAGCATATGAAAGTTAGAGCACATTTTCAGGCTGCAATAAATAGTAGAGGCAGGTTGGTACCAAGGCAAGCAGAGAGGTCGATGAAACAGAAGAGAGAACCTGGAATTGGACCCAGGTAAATAGACAGATTTATTGTACGATCAAGCTGGCATTTTATGTCAGTGGAAGAAAGCTCTCTTGAAGAAGGCAAATGAAACTCCTAAAAAGTAGCTGTCTCCAGGGAGTCAGAAGAGTATGGGGGCTTTTGTTATTTACTTGTACGTTCCTTCCCTGTTTGGATTATTTTGACAGCAAGCCTGAAATACAATAAAAATAAAATAAAATAAAACATTTCTCCCTCCTGCAAGCTAAGAGCAGACACAATTTTTAGAATATTAGCTTAGCAAACATGAAAAAGATTGCCAATTTTCTGTGTTGCTAAGGTTGTGGTGAGGCAGGCGCTCCCACATACTGCTGGTGGGAATAACAATGGACACGATCTCTCTAGATGGCAATACAGCATCACAGTCATGATCTTATGATCTATGTCCACGTGACAAACCCATATTTAAACAAGTAAAGTGGAGATACTTTAACCAAATCTGTTTTGGTCCCAAATGTTCAAAATACCCCCTGTCCATTGCTGCTGCTTCTGTGCTGGGTGTGGTGAGATAATATATTACTGATATTGAGACACTCACGTTTCATTGGGAAATGGCTTTTGAAACCAAAAAACACTTTTGAAATGCAATTTCCCAATAAAACTCATACCCTTTGATTTAGTAATTCCTCTTTGACGGCCTTATTCAAAAGAAACAATCAGACAAGGGTGAATATGATTTGTAAAGGAATGGTAATCATAGTATTTACAATATAGAAAAGTTTGATGCATGGCCCATGTCCAAGAATAGGAGTGAGTTAGATAAATGATGGTACAACCACAAAATGGAAAACTATGTAGAGATTGAAATGATAGTGTTGATGTATATATTGGGGATGTATTGATGATGTTGCAGACACATATATATTTACATAGAAAAGGGTCCCCAATTTATCATTGAGTAAAAGAACAAATAAACCACCATATTTTGTGTAATCTTATTTTTGTTAAAAGTTCGATGTATCTAGAAGCAGCACAGTGAAGAGGTCAAAGTAAGAGCTAGTGGAGTCCCATTGACCCAGGTTTCAATGCCTCCTCTATTGCTTGATTGCTATAGTTTAAATATTTGTCCCCTCCAAAATTCATGTTGAAATTCAATCCTCAATGTGCAGTATTGAGAGGTAGGGTCTTTAAGAGGTGATTGGGTCATAAGGACTCTGCGTTATTTCACAAATTAGTGGATTAATGGGTTATCATGGGAGGGGAACTGTTGGTTTTATAAGAAGAGAGAGAGAGACCCAAGTATAGTATGCTAGCATGCTCAGTCCCCTCACCATGTGATACCCTGTGCTGCCTCAGGACTCTTTAGAGAGTCCCCACCAGCAAGAAAGCTCTCACCAAATATGGCCCCTTGACCTTGAACATCTCAGCCTTTACAACTATAAGAAATAGGTTCTTTTTCTTTATAAATAATCCAGTTTCATGTATTCTATTCTAAGCAACAGAAAAAGGACTGACATTGGTGTTTTACTTTGCGAAAATAACCTCCCTGAGGCTCTGTTTTCTTATCTATGTAATGTATACAATGTGGAAAGTAAAACTTCCTCTTGCAATTTTGTTGTGATACTGAAACCTGAAAATCTTTGAGAAACACTCAGGACTGTGCTCATAGAAGGACTTCTGTGAAATGGGCTTTCCATTCTTAACTGCAAGTCCAGTAGGCCAGGCTCCAGCCCTGACAACCTGGTGATTCTAGGAAGCGCACACCATTGCTTGGCTTTCAGTTCCTTCTTCTACCAAGCCTGATGGACCTTTCTCAGTTCCCATGACTTCTGTGAGTTCTAAGTGAAGACATAGACTTGCCAAAGACACAGAGTGAGAGTTGCAATGGCCGGATGCAGCAGGACTATTTTCGTGGGCTCATATTTGCACTTATTAAGCCCTAAAAGGCTGTAACAACCAGAGCTCACATAGGTGGTTCTGTGTGCTACACATTACTCCAAAAACTTAACTATATTAATTAACTAGTTTGATTCTCACCACAACTGTATTGGAAAGGCATTATTATTTATCCCGATTTCACAGACAAGAAAACAGAGGCACAGAGAAGTTGAGTAACTTATCCATAGTCAAACAGCCTACAAATGATGAAACTTGCATTTGAACCCCGGCCTGTCGTTTTTTTTTTTTTTTTTAATGCCTGTGCTTTTAACCACTTTATTAGTTGGACTCTAAATTGAGATGTTAACACCACTGGGAGAAGAATGGTTGCCTCTCCTGACTGTGCAGATCATCTTTGGAGAGAAGAGAGTAGACAGGCAGGAGAAACACCCGCATCAAGAACGTAATCCTAGGTTTCTGAGATTCTGGGAGACTTACTAGTCTAAAAAGGACCATTTAGCAATTTTTTCTAATAGTTCTACATTGCATGTGTAGTACTTGTTGTTATCTATCTACCTATCTATCTATCTAATCTATCTATTAATCACCTATGCATCCATGTGTACTCATCTTAATGACAGCATCCCTGTCTCCCTCCTGGGGACCAAGGGGTCAAATGCTGCTCCTCTACTTCTTCTCTCAGGATGGCATCAGGTCCTGCAGGTCAGGCCTAGGGGGTCGTGGAACCTTCACAGGACATCAGGGGTGTGGGAAGTGAGAGGGACTGGGCACCCCTGTCATGGGGAAACGCCTGGATGGGAGAGAAAGCAACCCCTCCAAGCAAGAAGAATTCTGGAAGGATTTGTTTTGGAGACACTAGTTATAAAACAAACTATTTAGGGAAGTGTCTTAAAGAGGAAGGGGTGGCAAAGAAAGAGGCCCTAGGACAACAGAGATTCATCCGCCCCACTGCAGGTGGCGAAATGGTACCGCCGCCAAACTCAGGAGAGCATCCCTGCATCATGGTACCTGAGGGTGGGGGCACTCACCTGTGAGTCCCAGCAGCCGGAGGCAGCAGCAGGGTTGGACGAAATAGTTTGTGCTGTTTCTCTCAGGCAGGGCCGAGAGGCAGGTATGGGCATCATGGTGGGCCCTGGAGCCTGCTCTGCCTGCAGGTCTGTTCTTGGGAGGTCTTGGATTCTGCTCTGCTGAGAGAGGCAAAACTATGTGTTCCATGATATAAGAGGAAGTTACTATGATGGGAGGAAAGGGCTGTAGGATTATGACCGTTCCAGTTTCTAGATTGTGAAATAGGAATCAGACACAAGCTAATAAGTTACTGATATAAGGGTCCCAAGGTGCTTGGAGGGGCCCTGGCAGACACCCTTAGTGCCTAGGCTGTGTCCTTTGGGCCCCTCACTTTGTGTCAGGTGTGCTGGTGACCCTTCCTCATCCAGGAGCCCAGGAACAGGGTCTGCCATAGAGAACGGTGTGTCCAGCCTCCTGTGATAGTCCAAGACCTGGGCTCAGATGAGCTGTGCAGCTAGTCAGGAGGAGGGCTCCCGGGAATGGGGCTTCACAGGTGTGGATCCCTGTTTTTCCCCACTCCAGAGGTGTCAGTTGTAAAAATGATCCTGAAGCCATATCTGATGGGAGGCTTTGGCTCTTCAAAGTACGCTTACAGGGGAAGTGACTTTGAGTGAGCAAGGAGTTCGATCTTGGGAGGAGGAGGATAGTTTCTGTTTTAGAGAAAAGGGGAAGAAGCCTGTGTGTGTCAAGCGGGGGGTGCAGGGCCTTAGTGTGCTCATACTGCAGGAACAGTGACATGCAGAAACGCAGCTGGGAGGAGGAGGGGTATCTCTTTTTTCTGTCCCTAGTCTGGGGCCACCTCTTGGGAGAAGGGAGTGGAGGAGATGTAGAAACACTCACACCAAGAATACATCTCCTCTCCTCCTTCTGAGCAGCAGCCACCTGCACATGAAATCACATTCAGAGCCTCTAGCCATGAGCTCATCACTTCTGTGGACCCAGTGCCAGACACTGCCTCCTGTGACTCAGTTTCCCCACTGCTCCCCACCCCTGCCTCCTTACCAGTGGCTGACCGGATGTTGGTGATGAGAATGGTGATGAGAAGGGGTGGAATGAAAGGGGCCAATCAGCGATGAGATTTGATTGCTCTGTAGCATGATGAGTGTCCCTCTCCCCTCGACACCTTATTCTAGCTTGTTAAACATTTTTTCTGAGAGGGATTTCTTGACAAGGAACTGGCCAGAGTGTTCCGTTTAGCACTCTTTGTTCTAACTCTAATCCCTGTCTTCACTGATGACAGATTCTATTTTCTAGAGCTGACTGCAACAAGGTCCCTCTTCACTCATGCTCTTCGACACTCTTCCCATGGAGATGTAGGCATATGTTCCCTCCCCCTGAGTTTGGGCAGGTCTGTGACTGCAACAGAAGGGATGTGATGTGACTTCTGAGGCTAGACCATAATAATTCCCTGCATTTCTACCTGGCTTTCTTGGGATGCTAATTTTTGGAACCTTGCCACCATGCTATGAGGAAGCCCAAACTAGCATGCATGAAGAGATCACATTGCAGGGACACATGTAAGAGTTCTAACTGACATCCCAGCTAAGATGCAGCCAATATCCATTATCAATCATCAGACATGTAAAAGAAGAAGCTTCCAGATGACCCAGCAGTTGAGTCATCCCCAGGTGAGTTTCCCAACTGAGACCCCAGGCAACATATAGCAGAGATAAGTCATTCTTGTACCCTGTCTGAATTCCTTACCCACAGTGTCATTGATCATAATAAGATGGTTGTTTTTTTGACCTTGTGTTTTGGGGTGTTTTGCTATGCAGCAGTAGTAACTAGACAGCACCCTTGGCAACATCTTCCCCACCCCCACTGACCACACTAAAATTAAACCTTTGTCATTGTTTTAGTAAATTGTTGTAATGGATGCTTTCATTACTGGGTTTCAATCATTTTTATTTTTCTGATATAGGGATTTAAGGCTATAAATTCCAAGTACAGCAGTAACTACATGCCTCAAGTTTAATGTGCAGTATTTTAATTATTATTTAGTCCAAAATATTTTCTAGTATCTGTGGTAATTTCTTTTTTGATAAATCAGTTATTTAGATTATTTCCCAAATTCCTAATATATGAGGATTTTCTAATGATCTTTTTGTAAATATTTATAGTTTAATTCCACAATGATCAGAAAACATACTTATATAATTTTGATATTTCAAGATTTGTTGAGACTTGCTTCTTGACCAAGCTTATGATTAATTTTAGTTAATATCTCACATGGGCTTGAAAAGGAGCTGTGTTTTTCAGTTGTTGGGTGCAGTGCTCAATTACATCAAATTTGTTAATCACCTTGATCAAATCTTTTGTATCCTTACTGACATTTTGTCTGCATGTCCTCCTAGTTACTGAGAGAACTGCTGTGGTAGTCAGCCTTTGAGATTATCTCCAGCTCCTGGCATTCACCCCACTATGTAATCCCTTCCTCTGGATCTAGTGATTCACTTCTAATGAAAAAGTAAAAGTAACAGGATGTCACTTCTGAAATTAGCTTATAAAGAAATTGTGACTTGTATCTTCTTCTTCCCCTCTCTCCTGCTTCTTGAGGAGAAGCAGCTGCCATGTTGTGAGCTGTCCTATGGAGAAGCCCATGTAGCAGATATCTGATGTCTTCAGCCAGTTGCCCGCAAGGATCTGAGGCCTGCCAATAGCCATGGGAGTGAGCTTGAAGTGGATTCTTCTCCAGTTGAGCCTTTGGATTATTGCATTATTGGCAGACACCTTGATTGCAGCCTTAAAAGAGACCTTAAACCAAGATCACTCAACCTAAACTATGTCTAGAATCCTGACTCACAGACACTGGGAGACAGTAAGTGTTTGTTGTTTGAAATCACTAAGTTTTGGGTAATTTGTTATGCAGCATAGATGACTAATACAGATTTGTTAAGAATCTGGTAGCTTAATTGTGAGAAGGCAATGTGAAAATGGAACACAGAGAGATTTAAAGACACTGGCCTTGAAGATTTATTCTATGCTGCTGACAGGCCAGGGATGCTGGCAGCAAACCAGAAGCCAAAAGAGAAAGGGAATATGTTCTCTCCTAGAACCTCCAGAAGGAGCAGTTCTGCTGATGCCTTGATTTCAGTCCAGAGATGCAGATTTCAGACTTCTGGCTTCTAGAACTGTAAGAGACTAAATTTGGTTTTTAAACAACTTTATTGAGATGTACTTCATACACCATACAATTTACACATTTAAAATGTACAATTCAATATTTGCAGATATTTGTCTGTAGATATGTGCAATCATAACCACAGTCATTTTGAACATTTTTATCATCTCAAAAAAGACTCCATGCCTTTCATGTAATAACCTCCATTTTCCCTATCTTTCCACCATCCCCCAAATCATAAGAAATGTTCTGTCTTTAATCTACTTTCTGTCTCTATAGATTTGCCTATTCTGAGTATGTCATATACATGGAATTATTTAAAAAATTGATTTTTTAAATTATACTTTAAGTTCTGGGATACATGTGCAGAACCTGCAGGTTTGTTACACAGTTATACATGTGCCATGGTCATTTGCTGCACCCATCAACCCAACATCTACATTAGGTATTTCTCCTAATGCTGTCTCTCCTCTTGTCCCCCACCACCCAACAGGCCTTGGTGTGTGATGTTCTCCTCCCTGTGCCCATATGTCCTCGTTGTTCAACTCCCACTTATAAGTGAGAATATGTGGTGTTTATTTTTTTGTTCTTGTGTTAGTTTGCTGAGAATGATGGTTTCAGCTTCATCCATGTCCCTGGAAAGGACATAAACTCATTCTTTTTTATGGCTGCATAGTATTCCATGGTGTATATGTGCCACATTTTCTTTATCTATCCTATCATTGATGGGCATTTGGGGTGGTTTCAAGTCTTTGCTATTGTGAATACTGCTGCAATAAACATACATGTGCATGTGTCTTTATAGTAGAATGATTATAATCCTTTCGGTATATACCCAGTAATGGGATTGCTGGGTCAAATGGTATTTCTAGTTCTAGATCCTTGAGGAATCACTGCACTGTCTTCCACAATGGTTGAAGTAATTTACACTCCCACCAACAGTGTAAAAGCATTCCTATTTCTCCACATCCTCTCCAGTATCTGTTGTTTCCTGACTTTTTAATGATCACCATTCTAACTGGCCTGAGATGGTATCTCACTGTGGCTTTGATTTGCATTTCTCAAATGACCAGTGATGATGAGCTGTTTTTCATTTGTTTGTTGGCTGCATAAATGTCTTCTTTTGAAAAGTGTCTGCTCATATCCTTCGCCCACTTTTTGATGGGGTTGCTTGTTTTTTTCTTGTACATTTGTTCATGTTCCTTGTAGATTCTGGATGTTAGCCCTTTGCCAGATGGATAGATTGCAAAAATTTTCTCCCATTCTGTAGCTTGCCTGTTCACTCTGATAATAGTTTCTTTTGCTGTGCAGAAGCTCTTTAGTTTACTTAGATCCCATTTGTCAATTTTGGCATTTGTTGCAATTGCTTTTGGTGTTTTAGTCATAAAGTCTTTGCCCATGCCTATGTCCTGAATGGTATTGTCTAGGTTTTCTTCTAGGGTTGTTATGGTTTTAGGTCTTACATTTACATCTTTAATTCATATTGAGTTAATTTTTGTATAAGGGGTAAGGAAGGGGTCCAGTTTTAGTTTTCTGCATATGGCTAGCCAGTTTTCCCAACACCATTTATTAAATAGGGAATCCTTTCCCCATTGCTTATTTTTGTCAGGTTTCTCAAAGATCAGATGGTTGTAGATGTGTGGTGTTATTTCTGAGGCCTCAGTTCTGTTCCATTGGTCTATATATCTGTTTTCATATCAGTACCATGCTGTTTTGGTTACTGTAGCACTGTAGTACAGTTTGAAGTCAGGTAGCATGATGCCTCTAGCTTTGCTCTTTTTTGCTTAGGATTGTCTTGGCTATACGAGCTGTTTTTTGGTTCCATATGAAATTTAAAGTCATTTTTTTCTAATTCTGTGAAAAAAGTCAATGGTAGCTCGATGGGAATAGCATTGATTCTATAAATTACTTTGGGCAGTGTGGCCATTTTCACGATATTGATTATTCCTATCCATGAGAGTGGAATGTTTTTTGTTTGTGTCCTCTCTCTTATTTCCTTGAGCAGTGGTTCGTAGTTCTCCTCAAAGAGGTCCTTCACATCCCTTGTAAGTTGTATTCCTAGGTATTTTATTCTCTTAGTAGCAATTGTGAATGGGAGTTCACTCATGATTTGGCTTTCTGATTGTCGATTATTGATGTATAGGAATGCTTGTGATTTTTGCATATTGATTTTGTATCCTGAGACTTTGTCGAATTTGCTTATTAGCTTAAGGAGTTTTGGGGCTGAGATGATGAGGTTTTCTAAATATACAATCATGTCATCTGTAAACAGAAACAATTTGACTTCCTCTCTTCCTATTTGAATACCCTTTATTTCTTTCTCTTGCCTGATTGCCCCAGCCTGTACTTCCCATACTATGTTGAATAGAAGTGGTGAGAGAGGGCATTCTTGTCTTGCTCTGGTTTTCAAAGAGAATGCTTCCAGCTTTTGTCCATTCAGTATGATACTGGCTGTGTCATAAATAGCTCTTACTATTTTGAGCTACATTTCATCAATACCTAGTTTATTGAGTGTTTTTAGCATGAAGGGTGTTGAATTTTATTGAAGGCCTTTTCTGCATCTATTGAGATAATTGTGGTTTTTGTCATTGGTTCTGTTTATGTGATGGATTACGTTTATTGATTTCCATATGTTGAACCAGCCTTGCATCCCAGGGATGAAGCTGACTTGATCATGGTGGATAAGATTTTTAATGTGCTGCTGCATTCGGTTAGCCAGTATTTTATTGAGGATTTTTGCATCGATGTGTTCATCAGGGATATTGAACTGAAATTTTCTTTTTTTGTTGTGTCTCTGCCAGGTTTTGGTATCAGGATGATGCTGGCCTCATAAAATGAGTTAGGGAGGAGTCCCTCTTTTTCTATTGTTTGGAATAGTTTTAGAAGGAATGGTATCAGCTCCTCTTGTACCTCTGGTAGAATTCGGCTGTGAATCCATCTGGTCCTTGGCTTTTTTGGGTTGGCAGGCTATTAATTACTGCCTCAATTTCGGAACTTGTTATTGGTCTATTCAGGGATTCAACTTCTTCCTGGACTAGACTTGGGAGGGTGTATGTGTCCAAGAATTTATCCATTTCTTCTAGATTTTCTAGTTTATTCGCATGGAGGTGTTTATAGTATTCGCTGATGGTAGTTTGTATTTCTGTGGGATCAGGGTATTCCCTTCTTCATTTTTTATTGTGTCTATTTGATTCTTCTCTCTTTTCTTCTTTATTAATCTACTCTATCTGTTTTGTTAATGTTTTAAAAAAAACAGCTCCTTGATTCACTGATTTTTTGAAGGGTGTTTTGTGTCTCTATTTCCTTCAGTTCTGCTCTGATCTTAGTTACTTCTTGTCTTCTGCTATCTTTTGAATTTGTTTGCTCTAGCTTCTCTAGTTCTTTTGTGATTTTAGGGTGTCTATTTTAGATCTTTCCTGCTGTCTCCTGTGGGCATTAGTGCTATAAATTTCCCTCTAAACACTGCTTTAAATGTGTCCCAGAGATTCTGTAAATTGTGTCTTTGTTCTCATTGGTTTCAAAAACTTATTTATTTCTGCCTTAATTTCATTATTTACCCAGTAGTCATTCAGGAGCAGGTTGTTCAGTTTCCATGTAGATGTGCAGTTTTGAGTGAGTTTCTTAATCCTGAGTTCTAATTTGATTGCACTGTGATCTGAGAGACTGTTATGATTTCCATTCTTTTGCATTTGCTGAGGAGTGTTTTACTTCCAATTATGTGGTCAGTTTGAGAATAAGTGAGATATGGTGCTGAGAAGAATGTATATTCTGTTGATTTGGGGTGGAGAGTTCTGTAGATGTCTATTAGGTCTGCTTGGTCCAGAGCTGAGTTCAAGTCCTGAATATCCTTGTTAATTTTCTGTCTCATTGATGTATCAAATATTGACAGTGGGATATTAAAGTCTCCCACTATTATTGTGTGGGTGTCTAAATGTCTTTGTAGGTCTCTAAGAACTTGCTTTATGAATCTGGGTGCTCTTGTATTGAGGGCATATATATTTAGGATAGTTAGCTCTTTTTGTTTTATTGATGCCTTTACCATTATGCAATGCCCTTCTTTGTCTTTTTTGATCTTTGTTGGTTTAAAGTCTGTTTTATCAGAGACTAGGATTGCAACAACTGCTTTTTTTTTTTTTTTGCTTTCCATTTGCTTGGTAGATCTTCCTCCATCCCTTTATTTTGAGCCTATGTGTATCTTTTCATGTGAGATGGGTCTCCTGAATACAACACACCGATGGGTCTTGACTCTTTATCCAATTTGCCAGTCTGTGTCTTTTAATTGGGGCATTTAGCCCATTTACATTTAAGGTTAATATTGTTATGTGTGAATTCGATCCTGTCATTATGATGCTAGCTGGTTATGTTGCCCATTAGTTGATGCAGTTTCTTCATAGTGTCAATAGTTTTTACATTTTGGCGTGTTTTTGCTGTGTCTGGTACCAGTTTTTCCTTTCCATATTTAGTACTTCCTTCAGGAGCTCTTGTAAGGCAGGCCTGGTGGTGACAAAATATCTGCATTTGCTTGTCTGTAAAGGATTTTATTTATCTTCATTTATGAAGCTTTTTTTGGCTGGATATGAAATTCTGGGTTGAAAATTCTTTTCTTTAAGAATGTTGAATGTTGGTCCTCACTCTCTTCTGGCTTGTACGGTTTCTGAAGAGAGATCTGCTGTTAGTCTGATGGGCTTCTCTTTGTGGGTAACCCAATCTTTCTCTCTGGCTGCCTTAACATTTTTCACTTCATTTCAACCTTGGTGAATCTGGCGATTGTGTGTCTTGGGGTTGCTCTTCTCGAGGAGTATCTTTGTGGTGCTCTCTGTATTTCCTGAATTTGAATATTGGCCTGTCTTTCTAAGTTGGGGAAGTTCTCCTGGATAATATCCTGAAGTGTGTTTTCCAACTTGGTTCCATTCTCCCCATCACTTTAGGTACACCAATCAAACGTAGGTTTGGTCTTTTCAACATAGTCCCATATTTCTTGGAGGGTTTGTTCATTCTTTTTCACTCTTTTTTCTCTAATCTTGTCTTCATACTTTATTTCATTAAGTTGATCTTCAATCTCTGAAATCCTTTCTTCTGGTTGATTGATTCAGCTCTTGATACTTCTGTATGCTTCATGAAGTTCTCGTGTTGTGTTTTTCAGCTCCATCAGGTCATTTATGTTCTTCTCTAAACTGGTTATTCTAGTTAGCAGTTCCTGCAACCTTTTATCAAGTTTCTTAGCTTTCTTGCATTGGGTTAGAACATGCTCTTTTAGCATGGAGGAGTTTGTTATTACCCGCCATCTGAAGCCTACTTCTGTCAATTCGTCAAACTCATTCTCCATCCAGTTTTGTTGCCTTGCTGGCGAGGAGATGTCATTCTTTGGAGGAGAAGAGACATTCTGGTTTTTGGAGTTTTCAGCTTTTTTGCGCTGTTTTTTCCTCATTTTCATGGATTTATCTACCTTGATCTTGGATGTTGGTGACCTTCTGATGGGATTTTTGCATGCTCATCCTTTTTGTTGATGTTGATCCTGTTGCTTTCTGTTTGTTAGTTTTCCTTTTGACAGTCAGGCCACTCTTCTGCAGGTCTGCTGGAGTTTGCTGGAGGTCCACTCCAGATCCTGTTTTCGTGGGTATCACCAGTGGAGACTGCAGAACAGCAAAGATTGCTGCCTGCTCCTTCCTCTGGAAGCTTCATCCCAGAGGGGCACCTGCCAGATGCCAGCCAGAGCTCTCCTGTATGAGGTGTCTGTCGACCCCTGCTGGGAGGTGTCTCCCCATCAGGAGGCACGGGGGTCAGCGACCCACTTGAGGAGGCAGTCTGTCCCTTAGCAGAGCTCAAGCGCTGTGCTGGGAGATCCACTGCTCTCTTCAGAGCCGGCAGGCAGGAATGTTTAAGTCTGCTGAAGCTGTGCCCACAGCTGCCCCTTCCCCCCGGTGCTCTGTCCCAGGGAGATGGGAGTTTTATCTATAAGCCCCTGACTGGGGCTGCTGTCTTTCTTTCAGAGATGTCCTGCACAGAGAGGAAGAATCTAGAGAGAATAAGTGACCTTTTGTGATTTTATTCTTTAACTTAGCATATGCTTTCAAGGTTTATCCATGTTGCTGCATGTCTTAGTATGTCATTCCTCTTCATAGCCTAATAATATTCCACTGTATGTATAGATCATACCTTGCTTTTCCATTCATCAGTTGATAGATGTTTGGATTGTTTCTACCTTTCAGATAGTGTGAATGCTGTTATAAACATTTGTGCACAAATTTTTGTGTGAACATATGTTTTCATTTCTCTTGAGTAAATACCTAGGAGTGGAATAGCTGGGTCATATAGTAACTTATGTTTGACTGTTTGAGGAGCTGCCTATCTATTTTCCAAAGTGGCTTCACCATTTTGCATTTCCACCTGCAGTGTATGAGGTTTACAATTCCTCTACATTCTCATAAACATTTGTTATCTGATTTTTGATTTTAGCTATCCTTATGAGTGCAAAGTTGTATTTCATTATAGTTTTGATTTGCATTTCCCTGAGGATAAATTATGCTGAGCTCCTTTTGATGTGCTTATTGGCAATTTGAATATCTGCTTTGGAGAAATTCTTTATATATTCTAAACTCAAGGCCCTTATCAGATATGTAATTTGCAAATATTTTTCCCATTCTGTGGGTTATCTTTTTACTTTCTTGATAATGTCCTTTGAAGCATAAAAGGTTTTAATTTTTATGAAGTCCAATATATCTATTTTTTCTTTTGTTTCTCATGCTTTTGATACTATGCTTAAGAAGCCAATGCAAAATCTGATGTCATTAAGATTTATCCCTATGTTTTATTATAAAAGCTTTATAGGTATTTTTAGGCTTTCAAACCATTTTGAGTTAATTTTTGTATATGGTGTGAAGTAGGGTTCAACTTCATTGTTTTCTGTGTGTGGCTATCCAGTTGTTTCAGCATTATTTGTTGAAAAGATGCTTCTTTCCTCATTATCACACTTGTTGAAAATCAGTTGACCACAGATACATGGGCTTGTTTCTGGACTCTCTCTTTTCCATTGGTCTATAGGTCTATCCTGTTCCAGTACCACATTATCTTGATTGATGTGGACTTGTAGTGAACTTTTATTTTTATTTTATTTATTTATTTTTAGAGATGAGATTTCACTGTGTTCACCAGGCTGGCCTCAAACTCCTGTCCTCAAGCGATCCTCCCATCTCAGCCTCCCAAAGTGCTGGGATTACAGGCGTGAGCCATTGCGTCCAGCCTGTAGTAAGTTTTGAAAGAAAAACGTGTGTTCTCCTACTTTATTTTTCAGGATTGTTTTGGCTATTCTGGATCCTTCATATTTCCACATGAATGTTAAGATCAGCTTGTCAATTTCTACAAAAAAGTAGGTTGGGATTCTGATAAGGATTGTGTTGGATCTGTAGACCAGTTTGGGGGAATAGTGCCATCTTAAGAATGTTAAATCTTCTGGTCCATGAAAATGGGAAAATTTTCAATTTGTTTAGATCTTCTTTCATTTAACATTTTTTTGTAGTTTTCAGAGTATAAATTTGCACTTCTTTTGTTAAATTTATTTTTATTTTTAGTGTTCATTCCAAGTGTGTGGAAATGTAATAGATTTTTGTATATTGAACTGTACTCTCAAGCTTGCTGAACTTGCTCAGTAGTTTGAATAGTTTTTTAGTGGGTTCCTTAGGATTTTCTATGTACAAGAACATGCCATTTGTCAATAGAGATAGTTTTACTTCATTCTTTCCAATTTGGATTGTTTTTATTACTTAATTGTCCTGACTAAAAATTTTAGTACAACGTTGAGTAGAAATGGTGATAGGAGATATCCTTGTGTTATTCTTGATCTACTGGGGACAGCATCTAACCATCCTCATTAATTGTGACATTGGCTGTGGCTTTCGGTTTTGCTAAATATGATGTTAGCTATGGGTTTTGCATCCATGCTCTTTATCAGGTTGATAAAGTTCCCTACTATTCCTAGTTTTTTGAGTACCTTTTTAAATAAAAGAATTTTAGATTTTACCAAATTCCTTTTTTTTTATCATCTTGAGAGGATTATGTGGTTTTCTTTTTTATTTTATTGATATTGTGTTGTATTAAATTAATTGACATTCAGATATTAAACCAACCTTGTATTCATGGGATAAATCCCACTTGGTCAACATGAATAATGCTTTCTATATGTTGCTGGTTTCAGTTTGCTAGTATTTTCTTAAGGGATTTTTGTGTCCATATACGTAAGATATATTTGATCTGTGTTTTTTTCTTGTGATGTCTTTGTCTGGTGTCGATATCAGGGTAATTTTTTATTACTAATTTAATCTGTTTAGTTGTTATAGGTATCTTGAAATGCTCCATTATTTTTGGGCCAGTTTTGGTAATTTTTATGTCTTCTAGGAGTTTGTCTTTTTCATCATATAAACCTAGTTTATAGGCACACATTTTTTCATAGTATTCTTTAATATTCCTTTTTATTTCTATAAAGTTGCTAGTAATGTTCCTTCCTTCATTTCTGATTCTAGTAATTTGAGTTTCCTTTTTCAGTCTCCGGTCCAGCTGACTAAATAGACTTGAGAAGTTTTCAGCTATTCTTTCTTTGAATATTTTTTTCTGCTGTTTTCTCTTTCTCCTCTCCTTCTGCTATCCCTATTACATGTATGCGGTGTGCTTAATGATGGCTTACATTTCTCTGAGGCTCTGTTCATTTTTTAAATGTTATTTTCATTTAATTTTTCTCTGTTCTTCAGATTCCATAATTTATATTAATCTATTTTCAAATTTGCTAAATCTGCTTCTTCAAATCTACTGTTAATCCCCTCTAGGGTAATTTTTCTTTCAATTGTTGTACTTTTGAATAATAAAATTTCCATTTGGTTCTTTTTAATAATTTCTGTTTATTGATATCTTCTATTTGATGCAACATTATCATGTTACTTTCTTGTACTTATTTAATCATGGTTTGTTTAATCATGTTTCTTTGAACATATTTGTAATGGTTACACCAAATGCTTTGCCTGTTAAGTTTGACATCTGATGGCCATAACAAGCAGTTTCTGATACCTTTTTTTTTTTGGTTTGTTTTTGGTATACTTGTCATAGTTTTCTGTTCTATTGCATGTCTCACTTTTTTTGAAACTGGACATCTTAGATAATACATTGTAGAAACTCTGGATATTGGTCTTCCTCACAACCACCGAGGCTTGTTATTGTCATCTGCTTGTACAGTTGTTGAGTGACTGGATGGATTATTTTGGTGCAGTTGATTCCTCTTCTTTGCCATGGGGTATAGCCTTTGACAGGGAAAAGGTGGGTTTTGGTTCAAATATCAGACTTTTACTTTTCTTCCCCAGTTTTAGTAGTTTAAAAATTATTTCTTCATTTATGATATGCCCTTAATACTATTTCCAGAGCCTCTAAATATTTTTTAAAAATAATTTTCACCAGTTTCCATGGAGTGGGCCCTTGGAACTCCTTGTGCTGTTATGCCACCCATAGTGGTCTATTTCTGTTGTTTTAAGCCATCAAATTTGTATCCATTAGTTACACCAACTACAAGAAACGAATACATAGCTAAGTATTTTAAAAACATATGTATACATTTTTATTTATTAAGAAATGGCATAAATTTGGTACATTTCTGACTCAGAACATTTGAATGTTAATAAAGATATTGAACTCATTCACAGTATTCTCCCTCTAAACAGCTGTCATGCACTCCTATATCTCCACTCTAACTAGAGACTTCTTACTAAGAAGGAGGCAAAGCCATAAACCCAAAGGGTTCCGAGAAGAGTCTACCTGGGTTCCAGTACCCATAACCTGGAAGACAAGCCCATTAACCTTTCAGAGGCTCAACTTCCTCATCTGATAAGGTAGGGTGTGGACCATGTGGTGGATGAACATATTTTGTTTTCAACCTGCTTAGCATTTGTTCCATTGGGTTGATTGGTTATCTCCCATGGACCTCCTCTCCCTAGCAACAACGAATAAAATGTTGACAACATGGCATACAAAAGGCTAATGTGGATAGTTCCCTAGAACTCATTTGTGAAGGTTGGTAGGAAGAAGCTGTCTTTCCACCTTGGTTGTAAGATGGGGGAATGAATATCAACATTTTCTGCATTTATTTTCGCTATCATATACTGAAGGTTTATATGCAGCAGGAAAGATTAAAGCCATGAAGAGATGAGAGAATTTCAGAGAGCCACAGTCTTGGTAACATTAAGCCCTAAATCCAATCCTTTAGTCCCTGGTTCCAAAAGTTCTGCCTTGAATACTGTGAGGAACCCAGAATCCTCTGCAGGTACAGAATCAATCAACTCATATTTTTGGTTGAAATTAATGCATTTGATCTTCTTTCTTGTAAGTAAATGTTCTTCACTAATATAGAACATACTGGACTGGGCCCAGACCAACCCCACCTCTTTATTCCCTACTATGTACACTCCTGAAATCTCCCTGAGTTAGGTTCCTCATCTGTACAGTGAGTACAAGCATCCAGCAATTCAAATGTTGCTGTGTAGATAATATAGATGAAATGTTTGGAATATAGTAGATGCCCAATAAATGTTAGCATTATTGTATTACCAATTTAATAATTTCTCAGGCTGGATATTGCCCAAATTTCACAGGGCACCACAAGTAGCAAAACACTAAGAAAAAGGCTTTGGATGCAGGGAAACATAGATTTGTACTTGCAGTTCAACACACTACAACACACTGTGGGATGTGCGACTTTTATCATTCTTGTAGCCCTTAGGACATTGTTGATTTAAGCAAATTGGCTTAGCAAGGAGATGTTTTCTTTCACATTATTAGAGGTCCAGAGGTGAGATTGGAACAAGGAGCAGTATGGTTGTGCAGATTGTCAATCCACACTTGTTACATATCTGCATTCATCTAGACTTTTTCTCAACCTTATTCCCCTCATGGTCATAAGATGCCTGCTTAAAGCACCTGGAGCAACACAGTTGCTTGTTTCCAGCCAACAAAGGGAAGAATTACTTTAGATTACCAGATTTTTCTGCAAGCCTGTCTTTTTCTCTGATAGACCCAAACTGGCCAAGTTCAGCCCATATTTGAGTAAACCTCTAGCAGGGAACATGGAATTATCCTAGTTGGCTTAGGTTAGTCATGGGGGTGGATTAAATATTGAGAAATCAACCAAAATAGCTCTTATCACTCATCACTCAACCTTTTCAAGTCTTTTTTTCTTCCTGTAAAATACCTAACTCACAGCTTGCTGAGAGAATTAAAAAGATCAAATGTATGTTGTACCTTCAATAATATTTGGCACATAGCAATTATTGAATGAATAGAAGACATAACTGCTGAGATGATATTATACACCAGGGGGTATGGGGTATAGGAGACATACTCACCAGTAACAAACACCTGAGTGCCCCGACCTGATTGGTACTCCTTGATAGCTCTTCCTTTTATGAACTTCACGCAGTAATAGGTGCCAGCATCAGCAAGAGAGATTTCACGGATGCGGGTGGAAAAGTCTGTGTTGCCAGGCTTGGTGGTGTCTCCAATCTCTTTTACTCTGGGAAAGTTACCTTGTTTGAAATTGTAGATTAATTTCCGGTTTGGCCCTGTTCCCTTGAACCACAAGACAGGTCCATTTGGTAAGGTATTGGGTACGCTGCAACTCAAGATGATTGACTCCCCAGTTGATACAGTCTGTGACATCTCCGTTTGTTGCACATGGAACACATGTGTGACTCCTGGAAAAAAGCTGAAAATCATTTCTCATTTCCCCTGTTCTGGCTTAAGCATGGGTACGGGTCACGGTTGGGCCTCATTCATTAATTCTTTTAATGACATGCGCAAATGCCCATGCATTGAGTAAAGAGAGGCCTTTGCACATGGAGGCAGCTTCTCCCTAGAGTGCTGAAGGAAGGGAGTTAGTCCAGAAGACCAGATGTATTCCTCCTCAGTTCCATTCCTCAGCCCTCAACCGTGGTAAGAGGAGGACAGGGAGAGAGAAGGGGCAATTATCAATGGGTAATGTTCTTGGAGAAAGACTAGTTTCCCTATCCATCTAATTGCCTAGAGTCACTCGGTACATTTGGAACTGGGTTCAAGTCCTGTCCTTCAACCCTACATCTCCACTGAGTTTGGGGTTGGCCTTCCTCTCTCCTCTGAAGGGTGATTAGCCTCTGAATTTGTACAGAAATTCATGCTGAGAGATGCACAGAAGAAGTTAAAACAATTAAAGAATGAGGTGGTCTTGGCAACAGCATATGGTTCCACTACTTATCTCTTCAAGAGAGAGAAGGGAGAGGGTTTCCTCTCCTCAACAAAAAGAGATTAGAACCTCAAGGGCCCTCTACAATTTTGGAGGTTCTCACCAGCCACCCTTTACCCTCCTACACAGTCATCATCACTACCCTACAATGTGTCAGGTCCTGGTAATAATCTCTCCTATTAAGCTTGGTTGTCAAAACCACAGACTGCCTAAGGAGCAGGTTAGAGAGAAAGGGAACTCCTGGCTGGCAGGGCCAGGAGGTAATGGTAGGAAGGCAGCCTGCATTGACATTATGTAACTTAAGGGAAACCTGTGGATTTTCCATTGCCATTTTGGCATTATGGAATGTGTCTGGATTCAAGGGAAACATTACTGGGAAGGTCAGTTCTCCTGGTAGAACTGAGGGACACCTAATACCACTGTATTTCATGACGTTAATTCAGAGGGTGGTGAGGAGAAGGAAATACTGGTTATCCTGGGAATAAAAATACTGGGAATTAAAGAACAGTGGGGCTGGGCATGGAAGTCTCAGGACAGACCTGGGAAAGTTCAAGTGTCAGGGAATGACTCAACCCCTATGGGAAGGCTTTTTGCAAAAAAGACTTTGGAGAGATTGATACACAAGACCCCTCATTCTGGTCTAAGAATTCCCTAACAACAGTGCCAGGCCATGGTAGGAGATCACATCCACTCATTGACTTGTATGGGGAATGGGAGTGTGATCTCAGACTGGACTGTGGTGACCACTCAGGTACTTGCTATCAGGTCCCCATCACATTCCAGTTGGTAATGGGAAGGTGACTGGGATCATGGAGGCATGTAGAGATTCTACCTGCCTGAAGAGCCCTTTGTTTTGGCCCAGGAGATACTGGGCATTTTGGGGAAAACTTCACCTATGTTGAGATTCCATCAGAAGCTAAGATGTGGCTACTAGCATCTGTGACTGGAAGTTCAGGGTCATGGAATAAGTCATAATATACACAATGCATATACCTGGGCCCAGGTTTCTTCGTAAAACCTTAGAAGTCAGTCAGCCTTCTAGGACCCAGTTTTCTTACCATTTAGGCCATGCAGTGCACACATGTAGTTGCACCTTGCATATCCAGTATCTTTTTATTTGTAAATGTCTCCTATGTCATTGGGTTCTGGTGGGGTTGGCATCAGAGAAGGATGTGGCTTGTCAACATAGCTTGATTCAGTATTTGGCACAGGTTGTCCAGAATGGCTTACTAGAAAGGCTATTAGAAGAAACCTAGTCTACAGGGTAGTTCGTGGATAAAGGAGCATGGTGTTCAGTATGTAGTGATGATTTGGTACATGGTGAAGGGTTTTAAAGATTCATCTTCATAAACCCAGGGAATAAAGTGCATCAGGCTGTGCTCACCATTCACATACACGGTGGTGCCTGGACCAGAGAAAAACTCCATGTCAGGGTGTCCTACCCTTAACTTCACACAGTAGTAGGTGCCAGCATCCTCTGGCAACACGTCACTGATGCGAATGGAATAGTCAGTTTGATCAACCATTGTGTTTTCCACTGGAGTTACTCTGGGGAAGTGGCTTCCATTGCAACTAAAGATTAATTGTTGTCCTGGCCCAATGCTCTTGAACCACAAGACAGGCCCTTCTGGGGACAGAGCAGACATATTGCAGGCCAGGGTTAGGACATCTCCGGGATTGACTGACACTAAAGTCTGAGGCTATTTCACCTGGAACTCTTCTTCTGGAGTTCCTGGAAATAAACATGGAATCATCTCTTATGTTCTCTGTCTTGGCTCAAGATGCTCTGAGGGTCTGGTTATAGGTCAAGGTGGGATCTCAGTATGATAGCTTTATTTCAGCATCATGTGATGGCACCAGTCATATAAAAATTACAATGCTGGGTGCCATGTGAGGTGAAGGGGAGGTACCAGTGTACAA
Source organism: Homo sapiens (assembly GCF_000001405.40). Lineage (NCBI taxonomy): Eukaryota > Metazoa > Chordata > Mammalia > Primates > Hominidae > Homo > Homo sapiens. The sequence continues at coordinate 1,554,483 of NC_000020.11, forward strand.
ATAGGAGAATGACACTTTCCTTCTGCATCGGGATATGAGGATGGCCTGCAATATATTAGGCACTAAATAAACATATTTTAAATAAATATATGAGTATATTTTTATTAAATGAGAAAATGCAAAATAGAATTTGGGTCAGATTTTTCTAATTGTCTCAAAATCAGGGATACTGCCCCAAGCTAAGGACAGTATGTTGATAACCAACATACTGCATATGGAGTGACCTGCATATGGAGGCAGCTCCCTCCCATACCGGGTGTTCTGTGGTGTGAAAGGCCACTCATTCACCTCTCCCAGAGTAAACACTGAGGCATGCATTCTCAATGAAGTTGCTATTTTCCATAAAAGGTCACAACTGGTTTTTGGAGTGTAGGATTATCTTAGATATTACAATGGTTGGTTTGTCAATGATCAATTCTACCAAACAAAATCTTATTCCTTAGTACTTAATTGCTCTTGTGTATTCTTGGGTAGCACACAAGCCACACTGACATTGAGTTCATGGCAGATACACAAAATGTCTACAAGATAAGTTCTACAAAATTGCAGTTATTCACAATAGCCAAAATATAGAAACAACTGAAGTGCCCATCAATGTATAAAGGAATAAAAATGTGATTATACACACACATACACACACACAAACATGCAGTAGAATACTATTTAGCTTTTGAAAATCAGAAAATTCTGTCACTTATGACACCATGGATATTATGGTGTGAAATAAGCCAGGCACAGAAAGACAAATACCACATGATCTTGCTTATATGTGGAATGTCGCTTATATGTGGAATCCAAAAAAGTCAAACTCAAAGAAGTAAAGAATAGAATGTTGTTACCAGGGTCTGGGGTGGTGGAGAGTTGGACAAGGAAATGGGAGATGCTGGTCAAAGCCTATAAAGTTGTAGTTAGACATGAGGAATAGGTTCTGGTGATCTATTGCACAGCATGGTGACTATAGTTAATGCATACTTCAAACTAGCTAAAAGAGTAGATTTTAAATGTTCTTACCACAAAGAAGTGATAAGTATGTGAGGTGATGGATATGTTAATTAGCCTGATTTGATCATTTCACTGTGTAGACATGTATAAGAACATCACATTATACCACATAAATATATACAATTATTATTTGTCAATTAAAACCAAGATAAAATTTAAAAAACCATCAAGTTGTACACCTTTAAAAACAAATAAGTTCTACAAAACAATGGAGGACTTTATTTTGAATGGTTTTGCCATCTTACTCGGTATATTCCTTTTCTATCGCTGAATAACAAATTACGACAAACTTAGAGGCTGAATACAACACATATTAATTATTTCACAATTTTTGTCCATTTGTAATTCAGATATAGCTTAGCTGGGTTCTCTGCTTCAAGGTCTCACCAAGCTCCACTCAAGGTGCCAGCTGGGCTGTGTTCTCATCTGGGGGTTTGACTGGGGAAGTGTTCATTCTAAGTTCACTCAGGTTGTTGGCAGAATTCAGGTCTTTGTGGTTGTAGGACTGAGGCCCTCAACTTCTAGGGGCTTCCCTCAGTTCATTGCCATGTGGGCCTTCTCACAGGCAGTTTGCAACATGGCTCCTTGCTTCTTTAAGGCCAGAAGTTGCAAAAAAACTCTAGTGTGATAGATCTTACACAACCTAACATACTCAAGGGGGAGACAGTGCATCACTTTGGCCATATTCTATCAGATAGAAGCATGTCACACACAACTGAGATTACATAAGGGTGGGATAGTTGGGAGTCACCTTACAGTCTGTGTACCTCACCCAATAAGTACAGTTAAAAATTCAAGTGAGTTTTACTAGCTTTAAGTATCTTAAGTTAGCTTTTACCTAAATATTTTTAGTCATCCTTAACTCTCCATTGAATAAAAAGAGGAAGCTTTATAGTTACCCTTCCTATGTATAAAGCACAGACAGATATAAATGCAGTACATAAACCAACAAAGAATATATCTAAGTTATTAAAATTTCATGTTGAGGCTATTATGAGTTGAATTGTATGCCTCCGAAATATATGTTGAAGTCTTAACCACAAGTAGCTCAGAATGTGACCTTACTTGGAAATAGAGTTACAGAGGAAATCAAGTTAAAATGAGGTCATTGAGGTGGGTGCTAATCCAATATGGTGGATGTTTTTATAGGAAGTGGAAATTTGGACACAGAGACAGACATACATGGGAGTAAGATGATGTGAGGATACAGGGAGGGTGGTGCCACCTGCCATCCAACAAATGTTTGAGGCTACCACTGCTAGAAGCTCAGAGACAGACATGGAACAGATTCAACCTCACAGTCCTCAGAAAGAACCAACCCTGCCCACACTTCGATTTTGAATATCTAGTCTCCAGACCTGTGAGAAAATTAATTTCTGTAATTTAAACCACCCAGTTTGCAGTACTTTTTAAGAGCAGCCAAATGCAGTGGCAACAGAGAAATAAAAAACTGAATTTCACAGAAAGAAGTGTAAAATCTGCCAGGGGCCAGGTGTGGTGGCTCACGCCTATAATGCGAGCACTTTGGGAGGCCGAGGCAGGTGGAACTCTTGAGCTCATAAGTTTGAGACCAGCCTGGGCAACATGGTGAAACCCCATCTCTACAAAAAAGACAAAAATTAGCTGGGCATGGTGGCGCGTGCTTGTAGTCCCAGCTACTTGGGAGTTGGAGGCACGAGAATCACTTGAGCCCAGGAGGTGGAAGTTGTAGTGAGCCAAGATCGCACCACTGCACTCCAGCCTAGGTGACAGAGTGAGACCCTGTCTCAAAAAAATAAGTAAAGGTAAAAATAAAATAAAATAAATTACACCCTCCAGAGGCTGGAGGGTGAGAGCTGTGATGGATGCTGTGCCCCGCCCTGTGACCATAGGTGTGAGTCGTTTACCTGAGCAAAGAGATTTGCAACAGACATGGCCACCGGGAGACTTTGTCAGAATTGGGGACCATCCCAGTGTAGTCTTCTGAGTTCTGCCTGTTCTGGGATAAGATGGAGAAAACCCTCCCAAAAGAAATTCTATGGGAACAGGTGAGGGAGAGTTCACTAAACAGGCAGAGGGGAGAACCCACCACACACATACACTGAGGCCCCACTCACCTGCCAGTTCAAGCAGCAGATACAGCAGTAAGGAAGGCAGAGGTGGGTGGAGTGGGGAGGCAGGGATGGGCATTGTGGTGAAACCTGGAGCTTGCTCTGCCTGAATGCCTGTCCTGGAGATGCCCTCGACTCAGTGCTCCGAGCAGAGAAGACAGTTCTTGCCTCTGTGATGTCAGAGGAAGGGGATTGTGATGAGAGGAAAGGCCAGGGGACTGGGACACTTTTTCCTTTGTGATTATAAAATTGAACAGACAAGGTTGCTTCAAGCTAGGAAGTTGCTGCTGGAAGTATTTAGCTTTGCTGGGGCTGGGGGGCTTGACACCCACAGCCTTATACTCCTTCCTGAGTTTCATCCCATCTCACAGGTTCTCCCCAACTTCATGGCCTTTGCCTATCTAGGAGCCTCAGACACATAGGCTAGACAAAGGCCTCATCCACATGATGCGCAGGTATGGGTCTAGCTCCTGCATGAGCTCAACATCTGGGCCTGTCTGAGCTGCACAGCTGAAGAAAGAGACAAGATGTCTATAGCCTCACCCACTTGGTAAGAGTTGGACTTTACAATGGATGCCCTTTCTTGCACTCCAGAGTAGTTAGAGGTAAAAAACAAGCAATATCTGCTGTGGGCTCTTGGCTTTTCTGTGGGTCCCTCCATACACTACCAGGAACTGCTTCCTTTTTCCTTCCTGCAGAGGAATCAGGCATGGCTGAGAAAGACATTCGAGTTGTGCAGGTGGTGATGATTTGTGCTTTAGAGGATGGAGGAGGCCTGCAGGGAAGGCGGAGCTGCGGGGAACACTCTCTAGGAGGGAGAGTAACATGCCTACAAACACCTGGGAAGGTGAGGGCTGCCTCTCCTGCTTGGGCTGGACCTGGGACCAGCTCTCAGAGATGGGATTGGAGGGGCAGAAGAAATGCCCCCAGAAAGAGGGAGGAAGCAGCATGTTGGCATCCTTCTCTCTCAGCTCTGGAATGGGTTCTTCCTAAGCACAAATGTTGTGTTCAGGGACACTCAGCCCACACTCAGCTGGTGACCCTTTAATGTCCAAGCATCCACAGGCAGGCACTGGCTGCCATGGCTGTTTCCCCATTGCCTCCTCATGACTTCTGCCTCCTCCTCAGGAACCAGCTAGATGTCAGGGCCGGGAGAGGTGTTAGACCCTCTAGGAAAAGAAAGCAGAGCCAGGCTGGCACGTTCTCTCTGAGACGACAAGAGTCCCCATCCCCTTGTGATGTCATCATCCTATCCCGTTGTTCTGAAATGATGAATTCCACAAAGGAATTCCTATCCATGGCCCCTGCTTGGAACTAGACAGGAACATTCCTCCAGCCTCCATCATCCTCCCCTTCCCCTACTCTGAGGAATCTTCTCACCTTTCATTAGACTCTAAGTTCCTTGGAGAGTCAGTACTCACGGGTCAGTATCCAAGAGTGCCAGCTTTGGAATCAGATATAATCTAGGCTAGAATCCTGAACGCACCTCCTAAGAGCTGAGTAATCTTGGGCCCATGATACAGACCTGTATATTCTGCAACCTTCTTGACATCTTCATTTGTATATATATATATATATGTATTTTTTTTTTCGAGACAGAGTTTCGCTCTTGTTGCCCAGGCTGGAGTGCAATGGTATGACCTCGGCTCACTGCAACCTCTGCCTCCCGAGTTCAAGTGATTCTCCTGCCTCAGCCTCCCGAGTAGCTGAGACTACAGGCGCCCACCACCACGCCTGGCTAATTTTTGTATTTTTAATAGAGACAGGGTTTCACCATATTGGTTAGGCTGGTCTCGAACTTCTGACCTCAGATGATCCACCTGCCTCAGCCTCCCAAAGTGCTGGGATTTCAGGTGTGAGCCACTGAGCCTGGCCTCTTTGTATACCTTAAATATTCAAGTTTGAGTTTCAGATCTGCACTCACAAACCTTATCTTCTCCCACACCATGCCTGTTTTGTATATGGTACCATCATCTAAGCAGTTTGTCAAACCAGGAAGGGACTCATGTTCTATACCCTCACTTATCCACTTGTTACCAAGTGAAAGGGGGTTGCTGCCTGATGTGCTAGAAGCCAATACTGTGACACCAGGCTTTTGAGAAAAGAAAAGCTTTTTATTGCAAGTTGACTAACAGGAAGACAGAAGTCTACCTCAAATCTAGCTCCATGTGCTGGCTTCAAGGCAGTAGTTTTATTAGCAAAAGTTTAGGGGTTGGATTCTGGGATTAGTATGTGATTTGTGAAAGGAAAGGGGAGGTCTGGAAAGTCCTTGGGCATGTACAGTTATCTCTCTATGCCTCTTCACGGCTCCCATGTGCAAAACCCTGGGGCGTCATCATGAAATACGTGGTAGAAACTCAGGCTGTGACATCAGCAAGCTCATTCTGAGCAAACTCCAGTTGGCCATATTGGTTCCAACAGATTTTAGTCAGTTTTGTTATCCTACAAGTGGAGGAAGTTTCGGCAGTTTAGCAATTTTTTTTTTTTCTTATCTGCTATCCTGTAAACTCAAGAATTTCTTAGTGACTGGTTTCTTTAACTCTTTGGGGGCATAGTTTCACACTCCTATCTTGCCCCTACCAGGCCCTATTGGATTTACCTCCTAAATCCCTTCTGAATTAATCTCTTTCTCCATCTCTATCATCATCTCTTGCCTGAATAAGAACAATTGCCTTCTCACTAGGGTACCCCCATTTTTATTTGCCCCCTATAATCTCTTTCTCCTTCTTCAGCCAGACTGGTCTTTTTACAACATAGATTTAATTATGTCCCTCTCTTGAATAAACATTTTTGTGGATTCTCATTAATCTGGAGGTACTATAAACAAGGCTTTCTTCTGTGACTGACTTGCTCCCTTAGAGATGAAGGGATCCCCACCTTTCTGATACGTAGCATAGCTTCACTGTCCCAGGTTGGGTTCCCTGGGAGACAGACTCTGGGGTGAAGATGAACAAGCAGGTTATCTTTCAGGGAGTACTTTTAGGATCAACACTTGTGGACGGGAGAAGATGGAAGCAGGACTGGGTAGAAGAAGAAGCTGGGCTGCAATGAAGTCCCATTGAAGACCTCAGCTGACCTTGCATGGAGCCTGGTACTAGGATATTCCTCCAGAGTTGCTCTGAGTTAGGATAAGAGAGCTGGGCCTTTATACGACTAGGTTGATGAGTCCAATGAGATGTGGTTTGTTACCAGATACGACCTAAGCAAGGGCACTCCCTTCAGCTGAGACAATCGCAAATAGAGCTGATGCTGAGGACCATCTCCACAGCCAGGTGCCTCTCAGCATCCATTACACAATTCATGGGAACAACTTGTTCCTGTGAAGACTTGGGCTCAGGACATTATTCACTCACTCATAGTCAGGTCCTCAAAGCTATCCCAGCTCACCCACATAACCCAAAGTTTTCTGATCCCACTTGGTCTGACCTGGATTTTACTAATGGGAAAAGTTTAGGGTGAGCATCACGGGGGATTGAGAAGCCACTTCCTCTGGGATCTGAGTGCCTAGATCTGGGGTGAGCTCTGGTAGTGGACAGAGGAAGGACGAGAGGAAAGGAAACCTCAGGCTTTTGAAGTGAGATAAAACTTTGGAATATCAACAAAGTCTCCCTACCGCACATTTCCTTGCATTGTTCCCCACGGGGTACAAGAGGCAAATAAAACCTAGCTGAGGACAAGACGTTAATTTTTTCTAATAGACTTAATTTTTTAAGGACAGCTTTAGATTTACAGAAAAATTGAGCCCTATCATTAGCATCTTACATTGATATGATACATTATTATAATCAATGAACCAATATTGATACATTATGATTAATCAAAGTTCATAGTTTATTTAGATCTTTTCTTTTTACCTAATGTCGTTTTTCTCTTCCAGCATCCCATCCAGGATACCTGTTACATTTACTTGTCATATCTCCTCAAGCTTCTCTTGGCTATGACAGTTTTTTAGACTTTCCTTGATTTTGATGACCTTGACAGTTTTGAGGAGTTCTGGGCCCGATGTTGCAGAATGCCTCCTTATTGAAATTTGTCTGATGTTTTCCTCATGATTAGATTGGGGTTGTGAGTTTTGGGGGGAAGGTAATAGAGGAAAAGTGTCATCTTCATCACATCATATTAAAGGTACATATTAGTGACATGATTTATGATTCTTGATGTTGATTTATAACTGTTGATGAACTCTTGATCACCTGGCTGAAGCTGTATTTGTCAGATTTTTCCACTGTAAAGTTATTTTTTCTCCTTTTTTCCATGCTGTACTCTTTGCAAAGAAGTCGCAGTGCACAGCCCACACTTCAGGAGTGGAAGTTATGTTCCACCTCCTTTAGAGTGGAGTGTATAAATAAATTATCTGGGACTCTTCTGCACTGGAGATTCTTCTCTTCTTTCCCATTAATTTATTCAATCATTTATTTATATCAGTATGGACTCAGATATTTATTTTATACTTTGGACTATAACTCATTACTACTTTACTTATTTTTTTGCTGAAAGTGTTCCAGCTTTGGCCTTTGGGAGCTCTTTCAGTTGGTTCCTGCGCCTCTTTGATGTACTCCAGTCACTGTGGGTTTTGGTTTTGGGGTTGACTTTTTTTTCTTGTTAGCACTTTCTTACTTTCTAGAGGATGTTGAATTTTTGATGGAATGTTTTAAACAGAAAGAAGAGAGAGTAGTCTTTAAAGAAAGAGCTTGAGAATACAGCACACAAGCCAAGTGATCAAATGAAGAGAAGTTTTCTTTTGAAATCCAACACCTAGTAGAAACCAATGACCTCAATGATGTATTCACTCATTTAAAAAAATTGACAGCCTATTATATGGCAGACACAGTTCTGGCAACTGAGGATACAGATAATCCTCCCCCACCCCCAACCCCCCACGATATAACTGACATTCCATTTGCGTAACATAGATAAATACAGGCAGTTCTCACTTTGGTGATGACATGCATGCATTTCTCTTACCATAGTTTAGTTAAGTAACATCAGTCCCACAACACAAGTCTCAAAATTTAGGTGCCATAGTAAATTTAATGTAATTTGCATAGAGTACAAACTTCTGGGCTAGCTCTTCAGTCCACAAATCACCATGGTAATAAAAGCTCGTCATGATCAGTAACCAGTCATGTTGTGTCTTTCAAAGTCTGTTGGTGATTGGTCCCTATGGCTCTCCTACTCAAACAGCAAATCCTATAGTTGGGTTGCCTCCTTGCCTCCCAGTGATGAGCCCATATGACATTTTACAGAAATGAATAATTGAAAGAGGAATTTTGCAACCAAGATGAAAGTGCAGTGAAGAAATGAGAAGTGAAAATGCTGCAAGTGAGGTTCAAATTGAATGTGAGTGGAATTCTAGAAGTACAAATAGTTGACTGTGGCAATGTAGACCCTGATGCAGGAACTTCAGATAGGCAGCCAGAGGGAGGTAGTAAACGCAAACTGCCACAAATGGGAGAGGAGTGGTAATAAAAGGGCTGAAGATGTCCCAAAGGTTGAAATGCCAGCAAAAAACTTCACATGAAAGGATCTTCTGGAGTGATTCCACAATATTGAAAATTCAAGGGATAAGATGTTGGAAGCTAGTCCAAACTTAGAAAGATGGCAAAACACCAAGGTATAATAGAAATGATGCTTGCTGGCTAGGCATGGTGGCTCATGCCTGTAATCCCAGCACTTTGGGAGGCCAAGACAGGTGGATCACCTGAGGTCGGGAGTTCAAGACTAGTCTGATCAACATGGAGAAACCCCATCTCTACTAAAAATACAAAATTAGCTGGGTGTGGTGGTACATGCCTGTAATCCCAGCTACTCAGGAGGCTGAGGCAGGAGAATCACTTGAACCCTGGAGGCGGGGGTTGCAGTGAGCCAAGATCACGACATTGCACTCCAGCCTGGGCAATAAGGGTGAAACTCCATCTCAAAAAAATAAAAATAAAATAAACAAATGAAAAGAAACAATGCTTGCTCCGTGTATTAGCCCATTCTCACACTGCTATAAAGAACTACCAGAAACTGGATATTTTATGAATAAAAGAGGTTTAATTGGACTCACAGTTCCACAGGCTTAACAGGAAGCATGACTGGGAGGCCTCAGGAAACTTACAACCATGGTGGAAGGAGAAAAGGAAGCAGGCACCTTCTTCACATGGTGGCAGGAGGGAGAGAGAGAGAGAGAGCGAAGGGGGACTTGCCACACACTTTCAAAAAACCAGATCTCATGAGAACTCACTGAGATCTTATGAGAACTCACTATCACAAGAACAGCAAGGGGGAAGTCCGCCCCCATGATTCAGTCACCTCCTACCAGGCCCATCCCACAACACATGCAGATTACAATTTAAGATGAGATTTGGATGGAGACACAGAGCCAAACTATATCACTCCATATTAGAAATATACAAAAAAAGGCAAGCACTCTTCCAACTACTCTGGATACATTTTTACAAAGAAACAGCACTTGAACTCTCAATGTTTCTAATGCTTTGAATTGTAGTGCACAAATAAATATTTATTTCATTATATTTTCATTGTCCTCTACATTTGTAACTGAGAGTGTGAGAGTTTCTAATATTTTGACAAAAAATGGTAAAGGTCACAGAATGATCATTGTTTTTCTGATTGACTATGGAGACTGCTTTCCTGGGTTTCAGGTTGCACAGTCATTTTTGCAATCTTGCACTGCCATGAAAAGTGAGGGCTGCCTGTATTCGGCATAATACTCATCAAAATAAGGGCTAAAGAAAAATTAATTAGGATAAGAGAAATTAGAATGCCGGGATAGAGAAAATAAATAATATTTTATACAAGGTAGTTTATAGAAGGTGCCTTTAATGAAGTGACATTGAGCAGAGACTTGAAGGAGGGAGAGCGGGAGCCATGCAGCTGTGTTGGGGAAGAAGCAGAGAAGTGATATGATTTGACTTTTCCAAAGAATCACTGTGGCTGAAAAATGAAAGCCAGAGGAGTGGTCCCCAAAGAGATGATGCTGGCTGGGACAGGGAGGGGTGGTGGAGGTGAGAGGTGTGGAGAATAGGGATTTAACTCTGAGGTTTCCAGCAGCAGGCTTGGACTGGGCCCTGAAAACCAATTGTTAAATTTCAGGAATCTTGCAATCTGGTTGTTTAACTGTTGGCAGTGTGAAATTGGTCAGGTTGGGAGTTATTACACTAGAGAAATTGGCAAGCACTGCAAAACAGCTTTTGGTTTTTCCCTTTCAGAAAGTCCATTGTTAAACATTTACCATCTCATGTAAGTGGACACATGCATTTTGGAGGCAGAACTGAATATGAGTTGTAAAGGGCAGTCATCGAGGGCTCCTCAATGTTGGGCTGTGGCAGCATTTCTACCACAAGCAGCAGGACTGGGAAGGCTGCAGGATACTAGAAGAAATACTGTCTCCATCACAGAGAGAGAAGGGAGAGCTTCTTTCTTTTTGGGTTTGAGGGATAGGATGCTTGGACAAAGAGGAAAGAGAATCATTTTTTTCTTAAAATTGGTATAGGGGTTCATGTGTATTCAGGAGGCAGTAGAGAACCTCAACAAGGCTGGGGGAGTTGGGGTAGGCAGGAATCCAGAAGACAGGATAACTCTTGAGAGCCTGGAGAGAGTCTGTGGTTTATGGCCAGTCCCAAGGCGACGGATGGGAGAAGTCCTGGTGTGTTTAGATTTGGAGTGTTTCTCACCTTCTAGGGAGGTGCCATGAGTCAGTGCCCAGAGCCCAATCCCATGGCCCCTGCTCAGGACCGTGAATAGAGACACTGCTTTGGGGCATCATGGTCTTGTGAAGGTGGAACAGGAGCGTGTGGGCAGGCAGATGACCTGGGAGAGGAGGCGTTTGGAGCTGAGTGTGGGGAAGGTTCTCGCCAGCTCCTTCTCTCAGGCTGAGCTTCTCAAGAAAGGAGGAGGCAGCAGAGACTGAGGGTCCTACATGGCAGGGAAGGAAGGAAGGAGCTGTTGGAAAACACATCCACATTCATTCATCTGCTCATCATTTAAGAAATGTTTCCTGAGAGCCTGATATGTCCCTAGTGCTGGTCTCCTCTTGGGATGCCTGTTATGGGTGGACAGGCAGACCTGAGATAGGACTCTGCCAGCTCAGCACTTCTTCCAAGTCCTGATGCTCCCTCTTCCCCGCTTTCCACTCAAGCACACAGAAGGTCAGAGCAGGAACAGCCCTCAGAGCAGCCTATCTGGGAATTCTCAACACTACGGTGGGGATTACTTTGAACCCATGGAGTCCCAGCAGTGGCCTCCAAGGGACCACCCACTCAGTTGGCCCTCACTTAGACCCCTCTGTCCACCTTTTCCATGGGACTCCTAGGCCACTGGGGACAACTTTGAACCCCCTTGAAGCATCCCACCTCCTGTAATACCCTTGACCATCCCAACTCCTGCACACTCCCTGGGGGTTGGGAGCCCCATACAGGGTTCCCTGAGACTCCTGAGTATCCTGAGGGAGCCCTGTCACCTTCTGTAAACTCCACTGACCCTGAAGCTGCATGGCATGTGAGCTGGGCCCTCCTGCTGGCCTTGCCTTTCTGGAGGAGCCCTTGGTCAGTCCTCCCTCTCCTAAACTTACAGTCAGGCCTTCTGTTTCCAGCAGATGTAGATGGCAGAGACACCAACCACCAGTAGCAGCTTGGGGCCCAGGAGGAGAGCTACGAGGAGTGGAGCAGTAGGAGCCAGCGCTGCTTCTGGAAATCAGGGAAGAGGAGGAGCCATGAGAGGGGCCACCTGGGAGCTCATCCCAGGGGCCTCCACTTACCCCATCTGAGGCTACCTGGGCCCATCAATCCTCTGAAGCTTTTGAACTTGCATCCTGCTCTGGCTTTCCTGACTCCAGCCGAAAGCAAAGGCCAGGGAAAGTGGCTCCTCATTCTCACTCACCCTGTCCCAGGCTGCCAGTTTATCCTCCTGGAGGGAAAAGGTGGAGAGAGTGTGTGCTCAGGTATTCATATATGTGGCAACTGGGTTCCTCACTTGATCCTCACACGCCCATGGGGCAGGGATTATTATTCCATTCTGATGGGGAAACTGAGGCCAGAGAGTTTAGGGAGTGTCAGGAGATTAGTAGGATCCAAACCTAGGGAAGCCCATCATTATGTCCCCAAGGGTGACTCCTGAGTCCAAGACAAGTCCAACACTCCAGGATCATGAGAATGATTAGTAAAGGGTGGGCAGGTGGTGTGAGGATGGATTCAGAGTGAGAGAGTTGCATGCTGCCCTTCTTAGCCCCAGGGGCAGGGAGAGGACCCCATATTCTCATGATCTCAGGGAGCCCTCCAGGGACAAGACCCAATTAAACCTGCTGGCTGGAAAATTCCCTGGTGAGTCAGGGAATGTGCCTCGGGCTTGGAAGGGCCTCAGACATCATCTCTCCTACCTCAACCCCAGTGCAGATGTCATCTGAAATCTTTCTGTTGGACACAGAGAGTCAGATCTACGGAAGCTCATGTTGGGACTGTTTGCATTTTTTAAATAAGGGGTTTTGGATGTTAAAAGTAACAAAGGTATTAAAAAAAATTTTTTTTAAAATAAAATGGTGCTGGTGGGTCCTTAAGGAAGGAATGGAGACCTCAGCATCTATAGCCGCTGGAGTGTTGGAGTGTTGCAGGCCGGCAGTTCTCAGATGGGTGGCTCTCTGGGGCTTTCTCTCCTTTGAGGAGAGCTGCACTGCCCAAGTTTATTCCTTCTAAGGGGCAGCCCACATGAGAGATAGACTGCATTGGGAATATGAAGGGCCAGCCCTTCCCCTCAATTTGAAAAAAATCTACAGGACCCTCCGGCCTTTTGCCTCTCTGCAAGAGCAGCTGCATCTTTGTACTGCCTGCACTGTGGCTCAGCACCTCCCTCCTCCTACACTCCTGCCTCCTCATTCCTGAGGCATGTTGACCCTGACAGCACTCTAGGATGCCTCCTGCATTGCTTTATGCATCCTCAGGTGGCCTCCCAGAGAAACTGTCCTTGGGAAGTGGTCTGGAAAGAAGACTCTAAAATATAAGTTGGGAATCTGATTACTCATCAGCTAGCAATGAGGACCCCAGGGCTGGTGGTGAATGGGACTGGAGAAGCCGTGACTTGCTGTTGTGTTGCGATTGATAACACTTTCACTGGCACTAAACTGGGATAGTGTTACCACAGGAAGGAAATTCCTTGCCATTAGCCTTTTGAAAACAGATTGGGAAATGGTCGTTATAAGAACTAAGGTGTTAGCTGTTGCTGGGCATGAACTCTTGGGAGGAAGGCAATGAGAAACTAAGAGTGATTCATCATGAGTTAAAGTTCAGCTGGAAGCCAGAGGACTTCTTGGCAGCACTGCAGATTCTTATTTCTTGGAGCCACAGGGCAGAAGGAATAGAGAATTGGGTCCTGGGCATCATAGAAGAGTAGCAGAATCACAGCGGAGCATGAATCTCAGTTTCAATGGCTGCTATGCTGGGATAGGGCCCTGATGGGGAAGTTGTGGGACCCTGAAATGTGGAAGGAGACATTTGGGTCAAACCACTCAAAGATTGTCAGTTGACTTCAGAGTTACTGGGGACAATTGCAGTGGCATCGCTACTTGTCGCTATAAATATCCTCCCCAAGCCAAAAGAAGAAACAGAAAAGGAAAAGTAAATTCTACACAATCCAGGCCCTAAATATTGCTTGAAGAGAGAATGCCAAACTGCAAAATGGCTGAGTCAAAAGGGAACACTCACCTAACCCTAGGGCACAGTCTCTCACTAGGCTCCCATGCCACTGATGCAGCACGTCACAGAAGGCATCCTGCAGTTTGCCTGCCAGCCTAGACAACCTAAAATGCATTTCCAGACTTAGCATATGTGCCAGGATGCCATGTCAGACACACTGAAAGAACCCAAAAATGGCAGCCCTCTCTCAGCCCCAGTGGGTGGTTGGAAGTCTAAGAAAAGACTCAACCTTGTCCAGATGGTACAGACTCATCTCATCCTGTGCCTCCTTGAGAAGTACAACTATGAACCCAAGAAATATCATGAGGAGCAGGCATAGGAGAACTTCCAAGGTGGAAGAGCGAGGTAAGAACCTGAGGACTGAGGAACAGCCCAGCAGCCAAACAGCAGGGACTCTATGCCCAAATACCAGCCCCCAGCCACAGAAAGTGATGAAGGGAGGACATAGAAAAGAGGAGGTCTCAAGTCAATAAATATAAATCCCGCACTTAAAGAAACTACAAAAAGTAGGGCAAAGTAAACCCAAAGAAAGCAGGAGATAGGAATTAATTTAAAAAAAAAAAGAGAGAAGAGAGCAGATAATTAATGAAACTGAAAACACAAAAACAATACAAAAACCCATTGAAACAAAGAGTCAATCTTTTGAAAACACCAATAAAATGGGAAAAAACTCTAGCATGACTGATGAAAAAGAAAAGAGAAATGACACATTTTTAGTATCAGGATGAAACGTGGGATACCATTGCAGACCCTGCAGACACCAAAAGGGTTATGAGAGGATATTATGAACAACTCTACACACATAAATATGACAACTTAGATGAAATGGACCAAAAGTTATGCAAAACACAACTTACCAGGGCTCACTCAATAGGAAACGAAAAATGTGAATAACCCTAAACTATTAACGACATTGAATCTATGATTATAAAATATCCAAAAATATCCCTGGGGCCCAGATCTTTCAAAGGAAAACACAAGCATTTAAAGATAAATTAAAACCAAATTTAACACACAGGAAAATGGTTCTAAAAAATTTGGTAAAATGTGAATGTATGCTCCATTTTAGATGATATGAGGAAATTATTTTAATAACTTTATGAAATTTAGTGATTTGAACACTTAAAATTTAAGTGGACAATGACACTGGTTTTGTGAAAAATGTCCTTGATCACATGATCCCTCAATGTGCAACTGCAGGTGCATGCGTGAGCAAGTTTTCAGTGGACGTGACTATGCACCTTCCACACATCTCTGATGATTGGGGACATTGTTTGTCTTCTATTTCGTGTCTTTCCTCTTCTGGCAGGCAGGGACATGAACAAATCCGTGACTCAGCACTGACCCAGGAGATGACGCAAACATCATAGGGTGTTTTGGAAGGAACCTGAGTCCTTATTCTTATTTCCTGGAGCCTCAGGGCAGAAAGAATAGAAGATTGGGCCCCAGCCATCATTAGAAGAGTAGCAGAATCACAAAGGATGTTGAATGTCAGCTTTAATGGCTTCTATGCTGGGGTTGGGCCCTGATGGGGAAGTTGTGGGACCCTGAGATGTGGGAGGATGTATTCGGGTCAAAGCACTCAAAGATTGTCTTTCGACTGGAGTAGAGGGACCCCTCCTGGTATTAAAAGAGAGGGAAATAAGACATATTTTGGTTATAGAGAGGGGGAACACTGGCCAAATTTGGGTCCTTGGGACAAAGCGCAGCAGAAAGGGAAAGTTTCTCTAATTAGCACAAATTCCCATTATAGCCTGGTAGTGAGCCTGTCCTCAGGGACTAGATTTACCTTCATTACTTTGGACCAATAACCTGGTCTAATGACAAGAAGTCTTCAACAACATCCCTCATTACTTCCTAAGTCCTGGTTTCCCCTTTGGTAAAACTCCAAGCTCACTGGGTGTTTGAAGCAGGAAAGGAGATCAGAGATGAACAGAAATTTGCATATAGTAAATGTGCAGAGTGGTTGTGATTATTGTTGGTCAAATATCACCATCAGAACACAAAAGAAGCCTGTGCTGTGACCAGGTCACCTGGGGGTCTGTCCAGGCTTAAACTTCACTTGTCTTTCTGAAATTTATAGAGCAGATGCTGGAGACTGGTGGCTGAGGTCACAGATGCGGATGGAAAAGTTTAGGATAGAATAGGGACAAGGTAGAGGTTAGAAAGTGTAAAAGGCAAGGTGCTGTGCTGGCGAGAAATGCAGAAGAAGGCGAGACACAGGACTTCATAAACAAACGGATCACCTCCCTCTCTCTTTTTTCCTTTAATGTATATTTATGTCAAAATATCTATCAAGTTGTGCATCAGACTTGACGCACAGTTTCTCCTGGTAGATGGGGCTTAAGGGTGTCTACAAATGGCCAATTGTTACCTTGAACCTTCTAAGTAGTGGTGACCCATGGAGTGTAGGATTTTAATGTAGACGTTAAAATTCTACTTTATATTTATAGACTTCTAGCTTATTTTATGACAAGCATGAATATTGCTTTTAACATTAAAGAAAAAGACAAAATTTAAAAATGGGAAGTAACCGCACCATGGGTGATATCTGAGCCGTGCTCCTTCTGGTGCGCTGAGATCTCCAGGGCATAGCTTTTGCTGACTGCTTGCTGCCCATCATGCTCCACCTGACAGGTGAGCACCACATCGTCCCTGTGGGCACAGGTGTTCACCAGGAGCCAGCTCATCCAGTTGTAGGTGCCATCCTTGTTCTCTATGAGGGTCGAAGCTGTTTCTGTCCGGGACACATTTCCATTCTCCAACCAGGTCAGCTGTAGTCCCCGGGGGTAGAAATTGCTCACCTGGCAGGTGACGTTTGCCTGGTTCTCTGCCCTCATGGGCTGTTGAGTAACCTCCAAGGTGGGTGGAACTGAAACAGCACAGGGCAGAAGCTCTGATCTTGTGGCACAGACAGATCACAGGGAGGGCTAAATAACGTAGCTCCCACCAACACAGTGAGGGCATCACCAGGACAGTGCTAGGCAGGCAGCAGGTGCTCAGACATTGAGGGCACTCGTTGCATATGAGTGAAATTACTAAGCACAGTGCCTGGCGCACAGTAGGTGCCCAAGGACTGTTAGCTGCTGCTAGGCTAAGGATGAGTGAAATCTACAAGCACAACCCCTGGCATGCAGTTGGAATGTAAGAACTGTAGCAAAATCAGTGAAATCGCCGAGCACATAGTGATTTGGCTCCTAGTAGGTGCTCACTAATTGTAGTTGCTCTTGGTGAAATAAATGAAACTCTGTAGCCCAGAGCTTGGCACATGGTTGCTGGTCCCCTGACAGCTGCCATTAAAATGATAGTAAGTGACCGGCTCACCTAGGTGCATGGGAGGTGGACAACACAGTTAGGAATTAGATTCCAGGCCTTTCAAGCTCTGGAGCCTGGGGAGAGGGGAGTGGGCTTGGCAGCCAGGTGTGGGCTTGGGCTGGGTGTGAGGGTCTTCTACCTCGGATGGCCTCAGACAAGTTGGCAGTCCCACGAAGAGGGTCCCCCTGCAAGGTGATGTGGGCTATCTCGCAGATGACTTGAGAGTGAACGTCCCCACGGGTCAGCACCACCCTGGCTGTGCTGTGGATGCTGTAGGACACACTGTCTCCTGCGGGGTCCACGTTGGTCTGGAAGTCTGAGAGCTCATTCCCATTTTTGAACCATTTCAGGGTGATGTCTCTGGGAGAGAAGCCATGGGACTCGCAGGTGAAGCTCACTGTGTGCTCAGGTGTGGCCCTCACCGCAGGGCCCGATACCACGGGGGCAGAGGGTTTGGCTACAAAAGGACCATCGATAATCAGGAGACATGACTCAGATGACCATCACTGATGATAAGCGTTTGACATGTTAAGAACCTTCTGAGACGTTAGTTTTTAATCTTTCTAATAATGTCGTGAAGGCAGTGTCCTTATTCTCATTTTACAGATCAGGACACAACAGCTCTTAGAGGTGAGAACCAGGCCATGGTCAGACAGTGAGTAGGGGCAGGGCCCAGAGGGAAGTCCAGGCCTGAGTTCAAAGTCCTCTCCACACAGGGAGACTTCCACCAATCTGGGCATAGGAACAAAATTACTGATTGGTCTCCCTCCATGTTATTAACTGGTCCTAGCTGTCCTCCCCCGGAAGGCTCACTAACCTCAGAGAGGGCATTTATAGAAGCCAATACAGGGATCAATGGCAAAGTGGCACCACCGTGAGAGCTGCAACCAGGCTGCTCAGCCCAGGACAGGGGTGGGCTGACAACCCCAGCTCCTCATCCGCAAAACAGGAGGACGGAGGACGGCGTTTCTACTTCCTGGGATGTCGCCAGGATTCAATGGGGCAATGGAAGCAGTTTTGCTCTGGATCAAACACAGAAGATGCTTCCCCCAAAAAACACAGATCTATCTTTAACCCAGACTTTACAGATACACAGAGGTCTCTCTTTAGGTATTATAAAAATATGAAACATTCCGTATTTTTCTTTTCACAAATATTTCGTTCTGTCAAATAAAAGGCATTAATTAAGGATAAAGCTTTAACGTAGAGCCAAGAGTTTGTAAGAGCATTGGAATCACACCTGCTAAAGGTCAAGCCACAGGATGTTGCAGTAGATAGACCTGGATAACAACTGAAGCCAGGGTCCGTGGGATTTTGATCTCTTTCACCTGGAGTACTTTAATGAAATAACCAATGAGAGTGGGTTTGCAGTTGAGGATTTTCAACCAGCTAATGAACTGTTTCCAAAAACAACCTTTTGTGAAAATCCCCTATAAAAAACCTGTCCTGTATTGCCATACGGGACACTATTCAGGGTTTCACTGACTCAGTGTACCCAAATTGCACCTCTTTATCTTTCAGATAAATGCTATTTCCTTTGGCCTTCCTAACAATCATTTTGCTGTTGTTGTTAGTTGTTCTAATCTGCTGGAAGTCCTAAATTTGAAAAGAGGAAATTTTTGGGAATCTGAATCTTCAGTTAGGACAGGTTTGGGTGAAAAACAAGGATCACTGAGTACTAAGAAAGCCAAAGGTGGTTAGCTTTTTCATCGTTAATTAATTACAAGAGACAAAGACCCAGGCCACACCAACAGACAGAAACCTATTCTGGGCCTTGAAAGCAAACACATTGGAGAATCAGAACAACGAGTGCAGTTTCTCCATGTAGATGAATTTTAAGGGTGTCTGCAAATTGCTAATTGTTACCTTGAACCTTCTGCCGTCCTCTTAGAAAGCACATATTATACGTTTGACTTTGCCAATATTAACTTGCTCCCTGATATGCGTGAAATAATGTGAGAGCACAGTAAGGAGGGTGTCACTTGAAGATGTCAAGTCTTTGAGACACCAGCAGCATGGGTGTCCCTAGAAGGCTGAGAGGCTGTCTTCAGTTCCGATTTTTTGAGGGCTTCTTGGCAGCCTGATGCTGGCTGCTCTCTCTGTACCTCTCAGCACTTCAATCCTCCTTCTATTTGTCAGAGGGGGTCCTCATGTGAGCCCTTGTGTAGGGCGAGACTCTGAGAGGATCCTTGGTGGCCAAGGGCCAAAAGTAGATAGAAACCCCACCCTGGGAAGATGAGTGAGGGTAAGTGCAAGGGCATAGCCTGGCATGTAGTAGGTGCTTAATAAATAACCCCTGTGACTGTAATCATGAGGTTTGGTCATTACTGCTTCTGGAGCTGCATAGCTATTCTTTAGGCAACAGAACAAAGAGGCACACAAACACCAAGGAAAGGCTCAAACCCTACTCACCGCAGCTGCCAGAAAAAACCCAAATGATAAAAGGAGCAGCAACCACCATGTTTGGCGAACTGGCTTTCAAGTAAGATCACAGGGGAAGCTGGAAGCATTTTGGAAGAAGGAGGGAAAAGATACCTCAGTGACATCTGGGAGTGCTGAGGGAGGGAGGCTTCTGGGGCTGAGGAGTGAGGATTTGCTGGGACTCCAGCACGTGTTTAGATACAAATGTTTTCAAGACAGAAGGTTCCCCAGCCCTGAGGCTGCATCTGAGCCAGGCTTTGTCCCAGTCTCCTATCTTGGGCCCTGAGGCCAGTAGCATGGGAGGGGTCCTGTTCAGGCTTCTGGGGCCTCCCAGAATGTTTCCAGAATGGCTGTTTTGAAGCACCCATGACCCAAAAAGCTGTTCTCAAAGCCCCAAAACCTGGGGCACCGCTTTTGCTAGGGGGCTGTGTATGAGAATCTTCTGGAGCCATTAAGAACTTTAGATATCCAGGCCCAAATTAGATGCAATTAAATTGGCATTTTAGGGGGGTTCCTGGGTCCAGCTTTGCAAACTTTTTTTTTGATAGTTTTCCCAATGATTCTAATGAGCAGCCAAGGTTGAAAGCCACTGGACTCCAACCCAAACCCCATTTATACTTGGGGCCTAGAGATGCCCTGACCTGTCTGAGGTCACACAGCTTCACCCTAACACAACTCACCTTTATTGAGCATTTACTGTGTGCTTGTTGATGCCCTAAGCATTTTACACAATATCACTCCTTCAGACTCGGCCCAGTCTGTGAGGTCAGTGTTACCATCAAAGGGTGAGGACATCGAGGCCTATGGTGGTGAAGCACCTTGTCCCAGGTCACAGAGCCAGGAAGTGGCAGAGCCGGGAAGAGGCCCAGGCAGCTGGGATACTGCCTGTGTTCTCCTAACGACAGTTCTGCAGAAGCTCAGTAATAACCTGAATGACACCACCATTAGGGGCTCTGTGCACATCCTCTCCAATCCTCACAGAACCCAGAATAGGCCATGATAATCAGCATCTCACCGATGGGGAAACCGAGGACTCAAGGGAAGGCAAGACTGGCCCAAGATCACACGATCTTGAAATAACACCTCACTTTGGGGGTGCCTACAGTGTGCTAGGTGATTTACAGAGAGAACCTTACGCTTACGACTTTCCTAAAGGAGTCCATGATTGTCTCTATTCTACAGATGAAGATGCCGTGGCTGAACAAAATGAAGGCACTGTCTCCCGATTCTCCATGTGTCCCAGTGGGCATTTCCTGTGTCCCACCAAGCACTTATGTCCATTAACAGAGCAAGTGTTCTAACTTCTTGAGCTCCAACACTGACTGCCACCTCAATTGTCCCTTTGAGATTCTAGACTTCATGCAATGTTAGGGAGAAGCCTCCCTCCTGGGTGCCCAGGCCTGGTTACCCTGCAGCCATAAGCAAAAGACAGTGGGCTCCTGACAGCCGGAGGGGAGAATCTCAACTCTTGCTCACATGGGCCCCAAACACTCTCTAGGAAATGCCTCATCTCCTCATCCTTAGTCCTCAGCACCATGAACGGGCAGATACGTGCTCTGCTGGGCTGCAGGAGGCTCGACTCTGCTCATTGGACGCTGCTGAGTGAAGAGGAAACAACACAACATGGGGGAAGAGTCCTAAATGCCTCATGTGTGTTGAGACCTGTCCTTTAGGAACCGGCTTGGCATATCATGAGACATGCGCAGGGCCTTTCTGATGGGAGTGTGAAGACAGGCCCTCCTACCCCTACAGGGTTCTTGTTTTGTTTTTAATGCTTTTTGCTGTAGAACTGAACAATGCAAGAGTTTAGAAAGAGAAGGTTGGAGCATTTCTCCACTCTTGAAAAACCACAGTTGAGTGTCACAAAGACAAAGGCTGTGAGTCAGGCTGCGGGGTTCCAGCCTTGGCTCCCTGACCTGCTCCCAAGTCAGGTCTCCTCTCTGAGCTTCAGTGTCCTCATCTTTAAAGGAGGTAGCAAATGGCTTCTCCCTCATAGCACTGGTTATAAGGAGACTCTGGCACAGTTGCTGCTCTCTGGCCCCCTTCCCCACCTCCCTCCTTTCTCATGTAGCTCATCATTTAGGCCGAGAGCATGGCAAAGAGGAGTGAGTACTTCACTAGGAGTGAGCAGATCTGAGTCACACCTGAGCCACCACTGGCTGTGGCTGCCTGGGCTGGGGAGGCACCACCTGGGCATTTCAGTGTCTTTGCCAATATTATCTGCACAATCAGGATAAAGCCACCTTCCTTGTCTAAGTTCAAGGGTTGTGGGGAGCTGATTTCAGTCATTACTGAGCAATGTACATTTTCATGTACATACATGTACATGAAAGCATCATGTTTTAGGCTTTACATATACACATTTTTTTAAAAAGCTGTTAGTAAAGCTATGTGTCTTCTGGAGGTTCTGTTTTTTTGCCTTTCCAAATTCCAGAGGCTGCCCACATTCCTTTCTCACAGTTACATCTTCCCATCACTCTAACCTCTTGCTTATATCCTCACAAGTCCTTCTCTGAGAATTAATCTCCTTCCTCTGTCTTGTAAGGACCTTTCTTATGTATTGTGTCCACCCTGATGCTAGAGCCAGATGTTAAAACCACTGTCTTAAAAATGTTTGAAGTGGGGCCAGGCATGGTGGCTCACGCCTGTAATCCCAGCAGTTTGGGAGGCTGAGGCGGGTGGATCACCTGAGTTTGGGAGTTCGAGACCAGCCTGAACAACATGGAGAAACCCTGTCTCTACAAAATACAAAATTAGCCAGGCATGGTAGCTCAAGTCTGTAATCTCTGATTGCTACATCATCTAGAAGGGAAATTAGGCAATATTCTCAAATATGAAAACACACTATCCTCTGACCTAGAAACACCACTTCCAGTGGGAATCTCCCACCTGAGTAGGGTGACACATGTACAAGGTCATCCACTGCATGATTGTTGTAGTAGCTCAATGTTGGGAATAACTTACATATCCATCAACAGAAGACTGTAAAATAAATTTTGGTATTTCCATAAATTGGAGTATTTTTCAGCTGTAAAAAAACTGGAGCAGTTCTCTATGTCCTGATGTGGAATCTCGATATGAAATGACAGGGCTTACATTTGGGAGAAGTTTTCTAGTCACCAATGAGCTTTAGTATCTGAATGTGAGGTGCATTCTTAACATTTGGGAAACTGATGAAAAGAGAAATGCTGGCTCTCTGACACCTGGCTCTGTTTGGGGAACTTTTATCTAGCACCTATGATGCACCAGGCTCTTCTATGGAGACAGCGTCTAATGCTGGGGAAGGAAGGAGACTGCCACGATTCAGATATGGACTCTGGCTCCAATTCTGTCACTAACTGGCCCTGTGACCATGGACAAGGCCCCTGTCATGTCTTGGCTTCAGTCTCCCATCTGTAAAGGGGGTTGGGCTGGATGGTCTGAAGGTCCTTCCTGTGCTGACATGCCAGAATTCAGCAGTTAAGACGAGGCTTTTGGGGCTCTGGCAGGAAACCCCACATAAGCATTGTTGCTACCTTATATGGGGAACCCCTAAGTCACCCACTTGTGGGACCTCTTTCCTGAGGTGAGGGACATTCTGAGATGATGCAGCTCTGCTCGGAGCCCATGGTAACTCTGTGACTCAGTCCCCAAATCACAGAAGGGTTTCCCAAATAGACCCACAGCAAATGCCAAACATATTGGCATCTCCTCCCACCAAGCCATCAGATTCAACCGTGAATGTGCCTCCGAGAAATCTTCCCCGTGGGGTGTTTCTGAAGATTAAATTAAAAAAAAAAACAACCACGATTTACCCTCTCCATGCCCTGGACGGATTTCTCCTCATTAGAAGGGAAGAGAATGTAAGCTTGGTGGGGGAGCGCTTTAGGCTGTTTCATTCACTGCTGTTTGCGCAGCATCCAGGGCAGAGCCTGGCACACAGTGGGGTCTCAGTGACTGCCTGTTGCATAAAGAAGGGACTTGGCCACCCTGAGGGGGAAGCATTCTCTGGAGGCAGAAGGCAAGGTCCAGCCCTGTGCCTGGACAAGTCACTCAAATTGTGAGTTCCCTCATCTGTGGAACCAAAGGGCTGGGTCAGCTTTGGAAACACAAGAGCTGTAGAGCCGCAGACTGGGGATGCCTTCTGTCCCATCATTTACAAGCCGTGGAGCCTCGAGCGACTGCCATGACATCTCCAAGCCTCAACTCATGTGATCTGGAGAAAGGGTGACATCAGTTCATGAAAGGGTGGCTGCTCAGCCACCACCACACCTGGCTGTTGCTCCAAGAATGGATAATGTAATTATTGAGTTATTGTCACACACCAGGGGACAAAGGAGGCCCACGCTGTACTCACCGCGCACAGACAGCTCAGTGCCTGCTCCAGACTTAAACTCCACGTCGTCAGGGCTCCCTTTCCGGAACTTCACACAGTAGTAGGTGCCGGCGTCTGCTGGGGTGATGTTACTGATGCTGATGGAAAAGTCCAGGTTGTTTCTCTTTGTGAGTTCTGAAACAGTTGTTACCCGTGGGAAGTGGCCTTCTTTCTGATTGTAGATTAATTCCCGGCCTGCTCCAGCTCCTCTAAACCACATGATGGGCCCCACAGGGATCAGGGACGTCATAGCACAGCGCAGAGTGGCCGACTCTCCAGCTGCAACTGATACGGACTTTTCAGGCTGAATCACCTGTAGCTCGTCCTCACCTGCCACTCCTGGAAAGGAGCACAAAGCAGTCATTTCTTCATCCTTACCTGATTCTCTGTGTTTCCTCAAGTGTTTATCAATGGCTTTCATTGACTGGGTGCACACCAGGAAAAGGCCTTGAGCTCAGCCCACTACATGTATTATCTCATTTAACCCTCACAACTGGCCTGTGACGTAAGACTGTAATACAAGCGAGAACACTGAGGCACAGAGAGGTTCAATTTCCTTTTCCTTACTTTCTTCTGTTCTTTCTGTTTGCTTTCTTTTCTTTTCTTTTTTGAGACGGGGTCTTGCTCTGTCTGCTGCCCAGGCTGGAGTGCAGTGGTGCAATCACAGCTCACTGTAGCCTCAATCTTCCAGGCTCAAGAGATCCTTTCTCCTTGGCCTGCCAAGTAGCTGGGACCACAGGTGCATTCCACCATACCTGGCCAATTTTTGTATTTTTTCTAGAGACACAGTTTCACCATGTTGCCCACAGTGGTCTCTAACTCTTGGGCTCAAGCAAACCATCTGCCTTGGCCTTTCAAATTGCTGGGATTATAGGTGTCAGCCACCGCGCCTGGCCAAGAGGTTCAATTTCAATGTAGAGCTTTGGGTTGAGGACCTGAGTAGAACTATTGAGCCCTCCTCGGAAGTGCCATGTTTTGCCAATTATGGCCTCCACTCTGTGGTACATGGAGTGTGGCACTTTTTGTATCACTGGATTGGGTGGGGCCCTGTGACTTCTTTAGACCCTTGAGTTATGAGCAGAATGATGGGTATAATTTGTGGGCTGTGCATTTAACTGCAAGAGCCTCTGTGGATCAATTTCTCCCTTCCGGAGACCACGAGGCTCTGATAGGGCCTGCTCCATCGCCTGGATGCGTGAATGACCGTTGCATGCAGAACTGCCAATCCACACTGAATATGTAGCTTCCAGTAGAAATATAACCTTGTTTTAAGCCCCTGGTAATTTTTCACCCATAGCATAAT
Source organism: Homo sapiens (assembly GCF_000001405.40). Taxonomy (NCBI): domain Eukaryota; kingdom Metazoa; phylum Chordata; class Mammalia; order Primates; family Hominidae; genus Homo; species Homo sapiens. The sequence goes on from NC_000020.11 coordinate 1,579,659, forward strand.
CACATTACCTAAGTTTCCTAATGCTGATGTGACAAATTACCAAAACTTAGTGTGTTAAAAGAAATGTAACATTTTATAGTTCTGGAGGTTAGAAGTCCAAAATAGTGTTACTGGGGTACAATGAAGAAGAAATGATGAACGTCAAATACACAAAGATAGAGAATAAAACAGTGGTGACTAGGGGTGAACTTGGGGGAGTTGATGGGGAGGTCAAAAGACACAAAATTGTGATAAGTCTGAGGAAGAAGTCCAGAGAATGAATGTGCAATCTGAGGATTTTAGTTAATAATGTTGTATTGAATTCAGTATTTTTGCTTAAGAAGCACATTTTAGGTGCTGTTGACATACAACACATGCAGCATAACTATGGGAGATGATGGATGTGTCCATTTGCTTAACTTTAATAACCATTTCACTACGTATATGTACATGTATACATATATGAAAGCACCATGTTTTACACCTTCCATGTCTACATTTTTTAAGGCGCTTTCAGCAGAGCTGTGTGTCTTCTGGAGGCTCTGTTTTTTGCCTTTCCAAATTCTAGAGGTTTCTCCCATCCCTTTCTCACAGTTACATCTTCCCACCACTCTAACCTCTTGCATCTTCACCTGCAAACATCCTGGAATACAAGGATGTTTCAATGTCCTTCTCCAAGAATTAATCTTCCTCCTTCTTATAAGCACCCTTGTGATGTATTAGCTCCACCCTGATACTAGACCCAGATATTAAAATCACTGCCTTAAAAATGCTGAGAGGTAAAGGAAATAACGGACCAAGAACTAAAGGAATATAAATGTCTTAACAAAATGAGAATGTAAAGAAAGAGAAATTATAGGAAGAAATCAAACAGAAACTTAGGAATTGAAAGTACAATAACTAAAAGTTCACTAGAGGGGTCCCCCCAATGGGTATAAGCCGGTGGAAGAATAATCAGAAAACTGGAAGATGGAATAATTGAAATTATTGAGACTGAGGTGTGGGTGGAAAATAGAATAAAGTATAGAGCACAGAATCTAAGGGAATTGTGAGACATTATCAAATGTATCAACATACACCTTACTAGAGTTCCAGGGGGAAAAAAGAGAAAGAGAGAAAGGAATAGAAGATTATATGAAAACAGAGTGGACAAAAATCTTCACAAACTTGTTAAAATACAGGAATCTACAAATTGAAGACACAGAAGAAACGCAAGTTGAACCCACAAATAAACTCAGAGACCCACACTAAGACACATTATAATCCAAATGTTGACACCTAAAGTCCAGGTGAGACTCCTTAAAGCAGCAAGACAGAAGCGATTTCTTCCATACAAGAGACCCTCAATAAGATTTTCAGCTCAGCTCTTATGCAATGCACCGAAGGCCAGAAGATAGGGGGATGGTAAGTTCAAAATGTTGAAAGAGGAAAAACATGTCAATCATGAATTCTATACCTGGCAAAGTGTCCTTCAAATACAAGGGAGAAATTATGATATTCTCAGATAAACAAAAGCTAACAGAGTTCATGACCATTAAACCTTGCCTACAAGAAATGCTAAAGGGAGTGCTTCAGGTGGAAATGAAAGGATGCTATATGGCAACTCAAAGTTGTATGAAGAAATAAAGATATCCAGTTATGTGTACATTTTTTAAAAATCATGCTTCAATATCCCACAAACAAGCTGTGAGCACCCTGCCCAGGTGACCAGGTAACCAGTATTTTAAAGCTGGTCCCTGCCACAATTCCTCTTCTTGTCTTCCCCTACTGTGACCTAGTGACATTGAAACACTCTAGTAAAAGTGTTTTTGCTTGTGTCCTCCACCTTGACTCCCAGTAAAGGCACTTG